>NC_000001.11:57129592-57281107 GCF_000001405.40 Homo sapiens
CAGAAAATGACTCAAATCTGTCCAGAGCAATGTTCAAGTCTAGGATTTTGCAAATACTTTATAGGGAGATCTCATGGCTCGCTTCTCTTTGGGTTTCAGATCTCTTCATTCGCAAATGTGTGGGTTAGTTCATGCCTAAGGGACCTTCCATCCCTGATATCCTATGACTAGATAATTCTGAATCGTGGATATTTTACTGTCTATATGGCAAAACTAGCATCTTTGGTATATAGCATCTTGGGCTCCAATATCAGGGCCAGACAATTAGCATTTCATTGTAAGCTGACGTAGTCATTGTTTCCCTGTTCCTCCCTTCTGTGTTTCATTCTATCCATCCCTGAATGCCTTCCCTTTTACCTTCAGTGACCGATTAGCATCTGTGTCACATGCCAGGGTTTCCTATGCCAGGCCTGGCCGATACAACAATAAATGATCCAGGGTACCTTGTGTGGAGCTTGTAGTCTGATGGGAGTGTGAGTCAACTCAGTATGACACAGATGATCATGTGCTAGGATACAGCAAGCAGAAGATGAAGTAGGGACATCATAAAAGGCTTTCTTAATTCTGCTTAGAGGACATAGAAAGACTGTACAGGAGATGGGACAATATAACCAATAATGTAATATTATTTAACACCTCGAGCTTTTTATTTTACTCTGCACTATTCTAAGTCTTAGAGGATTAAATTAATCTTTCACCAACCCTAAGACATAGGTACATTTATTATCTCCATCTTATGGATGAGTAAACAGAGATACATACACATTAAGAAAAATTACTTTAAACTACCTTATGACCCAGAAATCCCACTACTGCGTACATATCCAAAGAAATGAAATCAGTGTATTGAAGATCTATCTGCACTCCCATGTTCACTGTAGCATTATTCATGATAGCCAAGAAATGGAATCAACTTAAGTGTGGTACCAGCGAATGAATATATAAATAAAATGTGGTATATATATGCAATGAAATACTATCAGGCCATAAAAAAGAAAATCCTGTCATTTGGAGAACATGGACGAGCCTGGGGGATATTATGTTAAGTGAAATAAGCCAGGAACAGAAAGACAAATATCACATGATCTCACTTATATGCTGAATTCATAAAAGCAGAGAGTTGAATGGTGGTTATCAGAGGGAGGGTTGGGTGGGGAGATTGGAGAGATGTTAGTAAATGGGTATAAAATTTTGGTTAAATAGAAATAATTTCATCTTTCTCTTAGTCTAGTTGCATTTCTGGAAAATTCGGTATTATGTATATGGGTAAAATACTTTGTTTATGTGCTAAATAGGGTTAGCTTTTTAAATTCACATAATTACTAACAGGTTTTTCATCTACATGAATTTCTAGAAAGACATTAGAAAGTCATATAGCATAGGAAAATATCTTTTGCCATATGTGTCTGCCCTGAATATTGCAGATTATTTAGCAGCCTTGGCTTTTAACAATTAAATTTCTGCATTACCAACCCCTCTGCAAAAAGTTGTGACTACAAAACTGCCTACACACATTTCCTAACCACTCCTTAGAGACACAGAACCAGTCAAGTTGAGAATCTCTGAAACAAAAGAAAGAAAATAAGCTTAGGTATTATAGAGTTCTAATTTGAATTCAATTTCTTTTGGGTGACCAGAGTGCAGCCTGGGGGTCAAATGACCAGGGTGGAACTTCATGAAGTCATTTAACCTACCTGTACCTTAGTTGATCCATCTATAAAAGGGGGATAATAAAAAATTCCAGGAACTGTTGGATGTAAATGAGACAGATCCATGAAAGCCTGCTCTAAACCACACTGTCATGTTTACAGGCTAGCCCTTATCCCCAGTCTTTTGAGAGTCCTGTGCACTGTCTCACTGACCTGGATGACAGCAACATCCCAGATACTTCTGAGTCCCAGAGAACACCAGGTCCCAGTGTGACGTTCTGCAGCCTCCTCAGCTTTTTCCTAACTCCTTCCCTGGGACATTTCCCTTTCTCAACCTCAGTTGCTCTCTCCAAACCTTGCTCAAAACATCCAGTTTGAACTGAAAGGAGAACAGACTTGTTTTTGATGAGGCACAAATAAGGTGACATCTGGTTTTCACTGAGGAATAAATTATTAAATCAGCCCTGAAATTTAAGTGCAGTTATTGTATTTAAAACACAATTATCTATCTATTTTGAGGGACAATATTGAATCCTGGGCCACTCTCACCTCCTACCTGTTATGCCTTAGTCATTTTGTGTACATTTGCTGATTCTTAACCGTGAAGTCATTTTAGTTTTTATGTAGTAAGTATTAGCGGGCACCAGCTATGTGTGAGTCATTGTGCTAGCTAGATAGACAATAGTGATGAACAAAAAGATGGGGCCTTATTTATCTCTATCTTTATACAGGTACCCAATATTTCCTGAGTGAATGCATATATATATCTTTCTCTTTCATATATCTGTGCCTTTAGAAATGCTGTTTTCTCTTCCCTTACTTAATTATCTGGTCCTCTCCAACTCACTCCTCCACTGCCAAGTCAGTGAAATTTTTCAGGAACATTCTTGGCAAAGTTAAACCCCAGTCTCTGAACATGGACAACTCTGTTCACACTTGTATCTGTATCACACAATGACTCACACATAGCTGGTGCCCAGTAATACTTACTACATAAAAAATGAAATGACTTCGTGATTAAGAATTGGCAAATGTGCACAAAATAACTAAGGCATAGCAGGTAGGAGGTGAGAGTATCCCAGTATCTTGGCAGCTGTGAATTCACTTTGTGAGTCTGGGTTCACTAATGAACTATGAGCATCTCAGGGGCAAGGACAGTGACCAATTCATCTTCAAATCCTCAGGAAACACAGGGCTGCACATGGCATAGAGTAGGGATCTAATATGTTACAAGTTGAGTATCCCAAATCAAAAAATCTGAAACCTAAAATTCTCCCAAGTCCAAAACTTTTTGAGCCCTGACATGATGCTCAAAGGAAATGCTCATTGGAGCATTTCACATTTTGGATTTTTGGATTTAGGATGCTCAGCTGGTAAGTAAATATAATACGAATATTCCAACATCTGAAAAACTCTAAAATTTGAAACACTTCTGGTCCCAAGCATTTCAGATAAGGGATACTCAACCTGTATTGTCTAATCATATATGGGTTATACTGTCAACATTCTATCTATCCAAGACAAACTATGGACGAAGCAGCCCCAGTTGTAACTCCACCCCTTTTGTCTTCACTCAGGAAAGCTCATCAGAATGAAAGTGAATAACAGTGACAATAAGACAGAGATAATAGGGAATCTGCTCTAATATAGATAAAAGCATCAAATGATTTTATAAAATCATTTATAAAATTTGGTATGCTATTATTAGTAACACCTCACTAGTATCAGAGATTCTGGACCAAGCTACCAAGCTCTGCCATTTGTTAGCTGTGTGACTTAAATTATATGGACCCTGGCTTTCCCATCTGCCAAATGGTGATAATAATAGCATTTACTTCATAGAATTGCCGTAGCATACTTAGATTGGTGTGTCTAATAGCTCTAAGTAAGTGTTGGCTCATTCAAATGAATAAGCAAAATTCACGTTTCTGTGGCAACAAGGATGTTGCGACATCTTGAAAAGTTGATGCAGACCACTGCCCTTCATCCTAAGAAACAGACTTACCTTTAGAGTCCTGCAGTATATATCATTTTTTATGATATAAAGTTGTAATAATTCTATGGATTAACATGGTGAATGGAGAGAGAATAGAGTCAGTGAGGTTCACTAGAAAGCCTTGGAGTTGAAAAGTCTGTTCTGAGTCAACAGTCAGGTCAGGGACACTCACAGAACCTCACTGCCCTTATCTGCAAAATGAAGATGACATAACTCCTTCCTCGTCATCCATCTGTCTGGTCTACAGACCTAGTAACATCATGATATATTAGCAATATCTAGGTATCTAAATGTATGAACAGCTTTCACTATTGATTTATTCCCTGCAACAAGCTAATAATAAAACAAAATTCACTCACATAAGGATTGGGATCAGGAGTTCTTTGAAATTCAAGACAGGGTGTAAATTGCTGCAAAGGGTCTCTTTAATTGGGATCAAAACATTTTTGACAGCTTTTGGATTTTAGCTATTGTCACGTTCTGCAAATGTTTCTTTTCTTGGTTTTTAAAAAAAGTGCAGTCAAGCTTGAGCAAAAATACCACAGATGAGATAAACAACTAAGACTGTCATTCCAAATGATAAAGGCCCAGTTTTCCACTTCTTTGATATGGAAAAAAAAACTTCATTTAGAACCCATGCTGAACATTGAGTCAGTCCCCTGCTGGGCAATGACTAAGGTTTAGTAAACTGTTCCTGCTCATAATTTCCAGTAGAGATTTTTCAAATAAAAAGCATCAATAGATATGACTTTAAGAGAAAACATAATCTTAAAATTAGTCTCTGGACTCAACTTAGATGTGACTTTGTCCAGCACTTTATCCTCTACTTGACTTTCTTCAACAATATCTCATCAGATGGTTGTTGCTTGAATACCCCCAGCGACGGTGAACTCCCTCACACAGAAGGCAGTCCATTTAACTGCCGACTGATAGAAAAGCCTTCTTACTGATAAACAGAAACCACCTCCTAAAACTTCTATCAATTAGTCTTGGTTCCATTCCTTGAGGTCACACAGAGCAAGTCAGCTCCTCTTCCTACTTGACAACTCATATAAAGACTGTTAAGGCTGGGCGCGGTGGCTCATGCCTGTAATCCCAGCACTTTTGGAGGCCAAGGTGGGGTGGATCACCTGAGGTCAGGAGTTCGAGACCAGCCTGGCCAACATGGTGAAACCCTGTCTCTATTAAAATACAAAAAAATTTAGCTGGGCGTGCTAGTGAACACCTGTAATCCCAGCTTCTTGGGAGGCTGAGGCAGGAGAATTACTTGAACCTGGGAGGCGGAGGTTGTAGTGAAGGAGGGAGAGGAAGAGAAAAAATAACTATTGGGTACTAGGCTTAGTACCTAGCTGACAGAATAATTTGTACAACAAACCCTGTGACACAAGTTTACCTATATAACAAACCTGCACATGTACCCCTGAACCTAAGTTTAAAAAGAAAAAGAATACAAAACGTGGGTGAAGTTAGAAAAGATTTATCTTGAGAGATAATAGGCATCATTGTTAAACAAAAGGACTCAGGAGCCAGACCGCCTAGGTTCTAATCCTGCCTCTGTCACCCCTTACTGCCAGCAAGTTATGTAAACTTTTCTGTCCTTGCTGTCTTCAACAATAAAATGAGAATAATAGTACCATCTACATCCTAGGGTTGTTGTGAGGATTAAATGACCTGGTACTTATATTTACCACAATGCCTGGCACATAATATGTATTTGATAAAGTAGCTATTGTTAGTATCACCTCATAGGAATGTTGCAAGAATGAAACTGAATAATGTATGTAAACTGACTAACACACAGCTAGTACATGGGAGGTACTCAATAATGCGAGTTACACCTAGCTATTTTTTATTTTGGTAAAATATATGACATACAATTTACCATTTTAACTATTTTTCAGTGTGCAGCTCAGTGGCATTACATACATTCACATTTTTGTGCAACCAAAACCACTATTCATCTCTAAAAGATTCCATCTTCCCAAATTGAAACCTCATGCCTACTAAATAATAACACTTCATTTTTCCTTTTCCCTAGCCTCTGGCAATCACCATTCTACTTTCTGTCTTTATGACTGTGACTATGTTAAGTAATTCATATAAATGGTATCATACAATATTTGTCTTTTTGTGCCTGGCTTAATTCACTCAGCATAATGTCTTCAAGGCTCATACACATTGTAGCACAGGTCAGAATTTTCTTCCATTTGAGAGCTCCATAGAATTTCACTGTATGTATATACAACATTTTGTTTATCTATTCATCCATCTACAGGCATGGGTTGCTTCTACCTTTTGGCTACTGAAAGTAATGCCGTTATGATCAGAGGTGTACAAATATCCATTCTATTACTAGTTATTTAGGAGTAATTTTTCTATACCTTTTTTCTTCAAGAAAATCCATTTTTACATTTAAACTACCATCTTACTACCCTTATGTTATCTTCATACTAGTCAGAACAAGGAAGAGAAAATAATAATGCAAAATGACCAAGGTAATGTAACTCCGCTGGTTAAGTATTGTTTATAAAGTGCTTGATAAATTACCTTTGTGAAGTACATGATAGGTGATATATGTGGAGGTGTTTTATAAGCTGTAAAACACTGAATAAATATAAGGAAAAAGACATCTATTTGACTCTTGTTCTCTTGGAAAACGGATCATAGAAGGTTTTTCTATTTTCCTCTTACCCCAAATGAACAGGACTGACAGTGTCAGGAGAGCTCTGGGGATGAATCTGGGAGTTAATTGCAGCTGTAAGGTTGATGAAAACACAAACCACTTCTTTGGTGGGTTCAACAAACGTATCAGCCCTTAAATTTCCTGGTCGTGCAGTGATAGATTTCTTTTTTAAGATTGAGAACTCCATTTATTCTTTTTGATTACAGCAATTGCAAGGTGCTCCAGGTTAAACTCAAGAGAGTCTGGATGCTTTGACCGAGTCAAAAGATGTACATGTATCTCCCTCTAGGACGTATGTCATTAAAGTTGCCAACGCACAAAGAAATTTAACTTAAACTGTCACATTACCCATTGATCTTCAAAGCTCATCAATCTCCCATCAGATTACCAGGATAGTGTGACACTTTTATCACCATTACACTATAAGAAACACAGTGCAGCCATACTGTGGCCAAGTCAGCAAAGAGACCTGCTTTGATGGATGATCAGAGTTGATCAAGTTTGTCAGTTGCTTTATGTGTTTTTATGCTTGTTGTATATTCCTGCCCAGAGAGTAGAGGCTTTTAAGGGTACATCTGTCAATGGATAAAATTTCACAATGCCATGTGATTGCTTTACTTACCCCTGTCTTCTCATCAAAGATTTTGATTCCTCCAAAGGAGATGGTTAAAAAGATTTTCTGTTTGTGTTCTCCTTTGGAACGAGCGCCAGCAACAACGCCCTGTTGAAAGGAAGAACATGGTTTTTACTTAAGTGTTTTCATTTGAAAATTCTCTCTGGTCCCAAAGGTATGTCCGATACCATCAACCAATGCCACCAATCATGCACACTGCTTTCCCTTCGCACTTCCATATTTCTCTACTCAATGCGGCTCACATCTCCTTGGTGTTTTAGGGTAATGCTTGTCCTAGTGTTTCTAACACATTGTATAGAGAAATATTTGAATGTTCACTCACTTAACTAATCAAAATTTATAGAATGGTGTCTAGATGTTCAGCTCAGAATTGGGGGTCCCAAGATAGACACAATATGGTTTTCATATTAATGTCTTTTCTGGGTTTTATATTAGATATGGTTTCAATCTTTTAAATGAAGGTGAGCTGCTAAGTATATTCCTACATATAATTTTATTTTTTATAATTCTGGAAAAAGTTTTCATATGAATCAATTTTAGATAATAGAAAATAAAAACAAATGCTAGACTGTCCATTTTGCTGGAAAAAAATGTGATCAATATAATTAAATGCCTATTGATTATAATTTTTATCCAAAGATATTTTGTGTTTACCACTACCCTTGTTCCTCTCATTCTCACATTCCATTTATCAAAAAAACTGTTTCCTCACTGTCTCAAATGTTTTATAAGCCGAAGATATGTCTATGAGTTAGTGAGAAGGTAAGCTTCACAAAAGGTTGGGGTGTTACTTTGTCCACCGCTTTATCTCTAGTGCTTAGGACAGTCCGTGGAGGGCAGGTCTGCTTAGCAAATAATTGCTAGATGAATATGTGCTATCCAGAGTCCTCCAAAGTTGATATGATTCAAGTTAAGAGTAAAGACACTTGCTTTCGAAATTAGATTCTGTGTTGGCCAGTTGCAGGAAAGCATGGGCTCCATACTAGGGTACAACTCGGGAGATAAAGACCTTTCAAGGGATCTACACCCTGAGGTGCTGTTGCTGACCATGCATTAGGGACCTTGAGACTTCCAGCCTGGCAGAGGCTCATTACTGCCAGCCTCTAAAGATGGCAAGATTAAGCCCAACTCTCAGCAGTTATGGTTCTGGGCTTTTAGAAGAAGAAAAGTCTAAAATAATGATTTCATATTTCCAGGAGACAAAAAGTACTATGTGCTATTCTCAGCATCAGTTTTGGGGAATGGTTGGTGTTAGAGAGCAGTAGGTATGACCAGAGGTATGAGGAAGGCACATTCTGTTGAGGATGTTTGATTATCCTCACCTTGGGTATTGGAAATATTCTGTGGAATCAGAATATCTAAGTTATACTCCTGGTTCTGTATAATCTTGGACAAATTACTTAACCTCTTAGTTTCACTTCCTCCAGTGTAAAATCCATCATTTTTTTGCATGGTTAAGAGACTTAAATAAACATTTATTTAAAGTACCTAGCACAATGCCTGGTATACTGAAGAAATATAATAAAAATTAATTTCTTCTAGAAAATACATGAATGTCCATTACAGTTTGTGTTTCAGTTCCTGTTTAGACACCTGCTAGGAGGAAATTCCCTCTTTCACACATCACCCATTCATTCTCAAGCACGTCTTGCAGACTCACAGACATGCAGAATGTATAGCACCACAGAAAACCTTAAAACTAATAGATCCAACTTTCTCAACTGACAGATGAGAAAAATGATGAACTGAAAGGTAGTAGACCGTCCTGAGACAGCACAGGGAATTGGTCAAAGAGCTGAGACTATAACTCAGCTCTCCTAGCACTTGGTGCCGGGACCAGTGATTATCCTTTATATTGTGTTTTCCTTCTAGGGAGCCTAAGTCTCTCTCCCTACAACCCCTTCCAATCTTCCTCTTTCAGCCTTTCAAAGCTGCTCCATATTGATATAAGACCCCTCCTCCAGCAACTGCTCTCTAAAAGGTTAGAGTAACTCTTAACTCACATACAAAGCAGAGTTCTCTGTCTCTTCAATCCCTCCCCGCATTCAATGGTTTCTAGATTGCTCAATGTGCTCCTTGTTTTCCCATGAATTCACTGTGGGATGCTTTTAAGGAACATGCAGAAATGGCCAAAGTATGTCTTTGGAATCCCAGAGGTAACTCCTAATTTCTGTTTAATGCCACCCTCTCTGACCCTCTTAGCCAACACAGCACACCCTTTATGCCAAATTGCATCTCCTTTGTTTTTCCTGCTTCAATTTCCTCCTGGAAGTTACCACCATCTGACATTTCGCAAATTCATTCATTGATTGTCTGCCTTTGCCTAATAGAACAAAAGTTCAGTTGTGCATGGAACTTTTTTTATTTGGTTTGTGCCCAGGGCTGAGAATGGAGCCTAGTGTAAAGCAGGAACTCAAAGAGAAGGAAAGTGACTTTCCCTCACTTGACTTTTAAATCTGTGTTCTCAGATAGATTTGGAGTAAAATAATACATGTTACTATCCCTTTCCACCCCAATCTTCAATCTCAGCTATCCAGGATACATACAAATCAGAAAAATAATTAGCCCCTTGATGGTGGCCGAATGTGTCCCCTCAAATGCATGTGTTGAATCTTCATTGCCAGAGTGATAGTACCGGGAGGTGATTAAGTGATAAGGGTAGAACACTCATAGAGGGGATTAGCGTTCTTATAAAAAGGCTTCAGAGAAGGAGTTCATTCCCCTTTCTGCCCTTCTGTTTTGAGGATACAGCATGTATCCACTTTGGAGGATGCAGTAACAGGCACCATCTTGGAAGCAGAGAGATCAGGGCCCTCACTGGACACCAAACCTGCTGGCCCCTTGATCCTGGACTTCCCAGGATCCAGAACTGTGAGAAAACAAATTTGTTTTTTATAAATTACCCAGTCTCAGGCATTTTGTTACAGCAGCACAAACGGACTAAGAAGTGACCTCCTAAAGGAAAGTACTGAAAGGACTGTCAAAGCGGAGGAGACTCTCTCCTTCTGGTTTTATTCCTTCTTCCTTTAGGTGAGAAGAGCACAGGACAGGGTGGGGATAGGGCTACACCTTTGGTCAGGGAGAGAAGTTTCAGTGTCTCCATTTCCAAAACAGTCCTAACAGCTCCTAGCTAACAGATTTCCTGGAATATCAAATAGCAATTAATTCCTAGCATATAGTAGTGCTGATTAGATACTAAGGCCCCCTTTGCTTGCTGGTGTCAAGTAGCTACCAAAGAATTCCCTGGTAGAATATGGCTGTAGGTAAAGAAGGATGGAAAAAGCCAACATACATGTTCCAGGAGCATTTCCACTTGGGGCTGCTGATGGTGACTTTACATGACAAATGAAAAAGAGAAGGACAATCCATAAGGTGCTATCTTTGGGGAAAGAAAAGTCCCATCTTATCAAGCATGTTTTTCTTGTGAGACAGGACTCTGGGTCAAGCTCTGAAAAACTGCACTCAGTCTAGAGTGGGCCTGCCACAAGACAGTGCCTTCAGGACACTGACGGGCTCATCTCCCCACAAGATTATTCATGGCCACTGTGCAGAACTAACAGAGGCCCAGGAGACAGCTCTGGTTAGGGAGTCAAAAGAAGTGGATATAGGTCCTGTTATGGACTCTGTGCCTGACATTAGCCACCTGACCTAGTAAGTCACCACTGGAAACTGGAAACCAGAGAGTCAAACATTTCCTTGGGTGCCTATGCTAGAGGTTCTCTTACCCATCGTATAATTTAGTCAATATCACAATCCTGGGAAGTAAGAATTACCTCCCTCATTCTACAGATGAGGAAACATAAGGCCAGGGGATCAAATGTCCTCCTAGAACCTAAAGGGGCTAATAAGTCATAGAACTGAAAGTCAAACAGTGATCTTTCTGATTCTCAAGGTAGGAATCCTTCTACTACAATCCTCTCTTCTTTAAGAGCCCCTTTTTGGGAAACAGATTTTTAAAAAATGACCAATGATGCATGCTACAAATATGTCCAAAAGTTTATGAAAATAGCTAGGTAGAACCAACAGCTTCCAAACTTAGTGCTGAAGAGGAACCCCAAAATGAGAATAATATTCACGTTTCTCACCTCATAAGAGTGTTGGGA
This sequence comes from Homo sapiens, assembly GCF_000001405.40. Lineage (NCBI taxonomy): Eukaryota > Metazoa > Chordata > Mammalia > Primates > Hominidae > Homo > Homo sapiens. Next base: position 57,140,658 of record NC_000001.11, read on the forward strand.
CACTTAAGCAAACTATGCATCTACTGCACTTCGCACAGTATGCAGGGAGGGCTCAGTAAATAACAGTTATACTTTTGAGACCTAATATTGATATGATTAAGCAATACCACGTGCTAGGCACTGTGTGAAATGATTGACACAGGCATCCTCAAGGGAGTCACAAGTAGGCAGTATCTCGATGGAGGACGTTACATATAGAGAAAAGGTCAGGCATGCCAAGCAAGAGTCACAGGCTGCCCTGTTCAGCTCAGGGGTTGCTTTGAGAATCAGATGTATGATGTACATGAAAGGGCTCTGAGAACATTCACACAGCACAGTACATGCACCCAACGTTATGACTGTGCTCTCCAGGGAACATGTAAAACATATGTGTAAATGCAGCAGGCTTCAGGCATGAATTCTGAAAACCTTAGAACGCTATTCCAGAAAGCCCCATGTAATAAGCCCGGTCTCCATTCTCCATTCTCAGTTCTAGCTAGTTACCAGCTATATGAACCAAAGGGAAAAAATTCATTCTAAGTTTCATTTTTCCCAGTTAAAAAGGGGAATATAAGTATCTTTCTCTGTCCTGTTTTTGACCAGAGACTGATTCCTACAGACTAGAACTGCATTCTCTGATCTCCTGAGCCTCCTTCTCCATGGCTCCAGTTGTGTTCCACCAATGCAAGGCAGAGGCAGGAGATCAGTGGGTAGGAGAGAGAGGTCAGGGCATTGCTCCCCACTCCCTTATCATCCTTCATTTGCATCTCTGGTAGTAGCTATATTTTGTGTGGTGAGAAAGGGAGACTTTCTTATCAATTCTGCTCTCCCTGTGTTTCAGTAAATATATATCTTCCTAGGAGTGGTAATAGCTTCCCACTGTTGCTAGATTCTGAGTACCTCACCACCCCTCATTTGCTACCTTAAATTTACCCACCCATTGGAAGTAACTCCTTCATTAAAGTATCCTCATCTGGTCTTTCTGGGGTAGATTTTGGTTCTTTCAGGACTCTGACTGACATACTTAAGGTTCTGCACTTAGCTCTCCAGGCACTGCCTTTGGAGACCTCATCCTTTTCCTTAACTTCAATCACCACCATTTTGCCACCGTCTCCGAAAGCTGACTACTTTAGAAGTCAATGGTGCATGATGTGACTACTGGGTAGTAGCTTACTGGTGGGAGCTTAAGATCTAGTTTGGGAACCTCAATAAATTAAACGCAAATACAAAACAGAATACAATTACGGGCAAAACTGTGTCTTGTCGAACACAGGCCCTCTTGGTGTCTGGGTTAGAATTCATCTTATCATAGATTAAATGAAGGCTATGAGGCAAATACTTTAACTTCTCTGACCCTCAGATTTCTTCTTCACAAAACAGGGAAGCTAATATGTATCTCATATGATCAAAAGATATAATATATGTGAAAATGCTTTATGGATTGTAAATTAAAATATGATGTCAACAAATGATGATGATGATCATGATCATGATGCTTTGTTGGTAGACAGGCAATGGGTCACTCATACTCATTATATGAATCCCCTCTCAATCCCCTACAATCCAAGAGAAAACTCTCTAATGCAAGAACACGCACCAGCTTCAGAGAGTCTAGCAAAGGAAACAGAATTTTTTATTTCTCATATGGCCTAACGTGAGTAAGTGGGCCTTTTTGGAAGGGTAAGAGGTATTTTGTACTTCTCTCTTACTTTCCTGGCAGATGGCCAAATGGAGAATTGATCATTTATGTTTCTGTGTTTCCTAAAGAAAAACCACTGGGAGCTGAAATGTCAACATTCTTCTCAGAAACCTGCAAATAATGAAACACAATTGTCTGGAAATCAAGGACCCCTCAACAAGTTCAGTGCATCTGACAGGAGTATGTTATAGTAGGACAAACTCTCAGGGCTTTGGGGACCTCATGGTTATAAGAGGTGACAGATGGAGCACTTCACTGCAGGTCACACACACACACACACACACACACACACACATACACACACACACACACACGGTTGGCAGCCATTGCTAGGCCTAGTCCAGCTAGCTTGGGCCAATGTTAATCCTGAGCGAGAATGTTCAGGGAGCAGAGGCCAAATCCTTTTAGTCCTCAGTGTTTCCAAGAAGGCAGCTGGCCATTGAGGTGCTGTGTGACCGATCCTGGTGAATGGTCATCTCCCAGATGCTGGGAGCATGAGCTCTTTTCTCCTCCTCAGCAGATTTGTGGCTCTGGATGAGAACCAGATCTTTGCATTTTCTTCATGCCTTTTAATTAAGATTTGTTAGAGCAAATCTCCACTTGCCAGACTTCATATTCATTGAGGAGGGACTTCAGCAATAATCAAGATCTTGGCCCTTATCCCCATCTTTGACTAGGGTCCGCTTGGGATGGAAGGTATGGCTCTATCTAATTGGAGAGTTTGAAGCAGCAGCTGAACATACAAAGATCAGTCTCTTCTGGGGCTTTCTGTGCAATTTGCCTGCTGAAAGACAGACTGCATTCTCATCTGATCTCATGCACGAGTCATGGGTCCTACTCTGGGCAAGGGCAGGGGTTGGGAGAACAGGGGGATCTGCAGTTGTCCAACACCCCTGCAAGCCAAGTGGAATAGCTCATCTCATTCAAGAAAGCTCACTGTGGCTGTGTATCCAAGTCACATCCTCCAGGCCAGCATTTATCAGTCAGAAAGCTAGAGTTTGGAATTCTTCCTGTCCAACTCTTGTCTATTAATCACTCAGATTTGAACTTGGGAGAAGAAAGCTCATCATTGGACTACCCTAAAATTGTATAACATTGCTTAATTATTGAAAAAAAAAGATGCACTAACTTCTTCCAAGGTGATTGTGAAATCATGGTATTGATGTCTTTTATGCCTTTTTCTAGTATACTTTATAGTAAATACGTAACTATTAAAGTTTGTTTATATAACAGGTTAACAAATAAAAAGAAGACATATAAATGAATATCCAGTGTAGAAAATTAAGTTTTAAAAATCATGATTCTTAGAGCCATACTATAAGGAAATATAGCATCTGATATATATGCTAACCTACTAGAAATTTTGTATAGCATAAACAAAAATAATAACTGATTTACTCAGCATCTATGAAAGTAAAGGTGATGCCGATTTTATCACATTTTACATTTATGCATTTTACAGGCTTTAATACTTTTACACACCTAACAAGCTTTTTTTTTTCCTTTTCTTTCTTTTACATTTGAAAATATTTCATTGACAAAGTCATGTCTTCATGGGCTATTTGAAGATGTTTATGTATATGTATATGTATATATATATGTTTATGTATATGTATATATGCTCATATATATTGTTAGATGAAGGGGAAAAAGTCCCAAGACAGGAAACTGTATAAATTTTAATTCCAATTTTATTACATATATGTGTATAATTCATATATTATATATGTAAAACCACAAAAAGAACTTGTAAATTATACACAAAAATATTGACACTGATTGTCTTTGTGGGATTGTGGATTATTTCAGTTTTCTTCCTTACATTTTTCTGTATTTTCAAAATATTCCATAATGCACATAAGTGAACTCTGTAATCAGAAAAATAAATAATATATGTTTGAAATACATATGATATTTGTATACTTCTTGCTAAACCATTTATTTTTTCAATATTTTATAACTTTTTAAAAGAAACAATATATGGACATCAGAATCTGAGAAAAGTGTTATTTTTGTATGCTTTTAAGGATGTTTAATAAAATAATTTATTTTGTATATTTAAAAAATTTCTAATTTCTGGCCGGGCACAGTGGCTCACGCCTGTAATCCCAGCACTTTGGGAGGCCGAGGCGGACGGATCATGAGGTCAGGAGTTCGAGACCAGCCTGACCAACATGGTGAAACCCCGTCTCTACTAAAAATACAAAAATTAGCCAGGCCTGGTAGTGTGCACCTGTAATCCCAGCTACTCAGGAGGCTGAGGCAGGAGAATTGCTTGAACCCAGGAGGCGGAAGTTGCAGTGAGCCGAGATTGCGCCACTGCACTCCAGCCTAGGCGATAGAGTGAGACTCCTTCTCAAAAAAAAAAAAAGAAAAAAAAAATCTAATTTCTTTCTTAGATTCCTCAGAGAAAAGGCTTCTTTATAGCATTTAAAATCAGAAATCTCTTCATGATATCCCCAAATCCCAAAATATAATTACATTTTACTTTAAGGATATTATCTTAAAGTGCTTGGGGTACATTTGTAGAAACTGTAAGAATGAATAAAATCAACTTTTATCTTAACATCTCTTACCATATGGCAAAAATATATATTATTTATTCAAAAATAACAAGATGGCAAAATTCATAAAATGTGGGTGACAAAACAATTTGATAATTTTTTGCTTTTATTTTTGCAGGAGTTGCAAAATGAAAATAAAATGGAATAAAATGTGATACACTCAAAAATTGTAAACCTGGGCCTACCAAAATATTTCCACATAGTAGGTGCTCAACAAACATTTGCTGAATGATTGAAATATCTTCCGAATGAAAAAATATGGTGATTCAACAGTAAGCCAAGTAATTTACCAATAAATGAATAAAGTTATTTACAATTATGATGGTAATCACTTCTTTTCCTCATTCACATTAAACACAAAGTATTGAAAAGAAAACGTTTGCATAGCACCTTGAGTTTCATCATGGAATCTTGACATAACTTGTCTCCCCGAGCTGCGGAAACTTCATCAATCCCGATCAATTTGGCTTTGTACCGGACCCCTTCACCTTTAAACCTCTTTATCAAAGTGGCTTCACTGCGATCCTGACCTAAAAAGAGAAAAAGCAGATTCAAATATGTAGCTGTGCAGACCCCAGTGGCTTTGAGTATCCACAATTCCAAGATCCGCTGTCTGGTTTCATCTACATTCCCGGAAAGTCAAATCACTGGACTCAGGAGAAAAGAATAGCAGTATTCCTAAATGTAAATTCTGACTCCATCCATTTAAGTCCTGAGACAAATTACTTCTCCTTTCTGAGACTCAGTTTTCTCAGGTAGGGAAAAATAAGTTAAAAATAACCACCCCAACAGGGTATTATGATAAATAAATCAGATAATATGTGTGAAGCATCTAATTCAGGGTTTGATAAGCAAGAGATATTCAACAAATGATCATAATCACCCACTAAGAGTTCATGTCCGAAATTGTTGTTAGAATAATATGAGCACCGAGTCTCTGGCATTGCCAACATTCAATAATAGCTTGGCCAGGGTCCAAGACCCTCTTCCCACCCAATTCCATGAGCTCTTTCACAGTGAAACTCCAGAGTAATTACCTGAGGACAGTTATCAAAAAATGGTTTTATGACATCTCTTCTGGTAAGTCATGTGTGCAGGAAAATAGGCTTCCACACTATGTGCTGTTGTGTGTCTGCACCTTCCAACAGGCTCTCTCAATAATTATTAAGATAATATTTTGCTAAGACACATCAACCAGGAGCTCAAGCATATCTACATGAAGTGAGGACAATAAAGTTAACTCTGAACTGAGCAAGCGCTTCATGCCAGATGTTCTGTAAACTTTATCCCCACTCTTCACAACAAGCAAACCATTTCCATTTTCCAGATGATGAAGTCGAAGGTCACAGAGTTTAGGTAGCTTGCCCAAGTAAACATAGTCTGAAATAAGATGAATACATAGGAATTCAAACCCATCATTAACCTCATCATACTTTGATTAGTCAGAGGTCTGGACATTGTACAGTTGGTTCTTAAAACCTGGAGTGTCCTTCTGTCTGTTATTCATCTCCTATAATATCCTTAACTTCAACTCTTGATTTCTCCTTCATCATGCTTACTTCATCTGTCAGAAACACAGAGCTGAGGACATTAGAGATAATTCAGCCTGTTTCCCTCTATCTACAGATGTGCAAACTAAGGCCTTTCTATATTGTGGGGTTGAGAATTATCGGAAGACATGCTTAAAATAGAAAAAAACAACAGCAATCACTAACCATCATATAGTACTTTTCTATTGACAAAACACAACTTTCATTTCATTCATTTATTCATTCATCCCTTACTGAGCATCTCCTCTGTACCGGTGCTATTATTCACTGGCAACAGATGAATGAGACAATATCTGTGCCCTTAGAAGCTTAAGTTTTTGGTGACTGCAAATACAAATGTATTTGCATTACGCTAAGTGTGTAAGAAGGTTCAAGCTTTAGAATCAGACATCCTTGTTTGGAATCATAGGTCCCTCTCGTAAGTCAACTGAACTGTCTGAGCCTCAGTTTTTTAATGTGTTGGATGACAATAAAGTATCTACCTTACAGCATTAGCATGAGCAGTAACTTCAGTGAGATAGTATGTGTGAAGTATGTATTTACATGGTAACTTTTCTACAAATGGTAGCTGTCCCACTGTTTTTCTTTTTTTTTTTTTTGAAACAGTATCTCACTTCATCACCCAGGCTGGAGCACAGTGGCGCGATCACAGCTCACTGCAGCCACGACCTCCCAGGCTCAGGCAAGTCTCCTACTTCAGCCTCCCAAGTAGCTGGGACAACAGGCACACACGGTCATACTTGGCTATATTTTTGTAGAGATGGGGTTTTGCCATGTTGCCCAGTCTCAGACTTTCAGACTCAACCAATCCACCACCTTGGCCTCCCCAAGTGCAGGGATTATAGGCGTGAGTATCACCACTATTATAAGCCCAGTAAAAGAAGCAAGTAGAAGACACAATCCTGGGAGGGTGGGAGGCAGAGAGAAGGAATGTCTATGTCTATCCAGCCACAGGTCTGGACCTGTGGTCCTGACCCCCAGTTTTCTTTTTGTTTTTTCCATGACACCCCTGCTGACTCCTCATATATTAAAGCCTTTGAGTAATATTCCACAAAGCAAATATAACACAGGGATGATTAGTCAGAAACTATAATCCGTATAATACTTAAGCCTCAGCATTCTGTAAGAGCGAATGTCAGAGACTAGAGCTAAGAACAAAGGGACATTTGCCATAATACACCTTATATCATAGCTAAACATCCTCCTCTTCAACATATGACACTATTTCAGTCCATAATAACATCTCTTTCACCACTGAGACTTCCCCAAACTTTAATTATAATCACAATACCAGGTAGCATTCATCACAAAGCATATTATATGCATCAACTTGTTAAGTCCAGAAAATAATTGTAGAGGTAGGTACGAGTATTCAGGTTTCATAGATGAGGCTCCAAACTGAAAGTGTTAGAGGCCATGTAACTTGTCCAAACTTACTGAGTAGAACCTGAACTTAGATTTGTCTCATGTCAAAACCCACGTTTGTGGTTTGCTTGTGTTCTGTGTTTTCAAGCCTGTTCGCCTAACCACCATGATCAGTTGCTTCTTTTCTACGCAACTTTCTTATAAAGCCCCATCTTTATCTTGACCAAAACTCACCTGGCCCAAATGTGATGGTACTCAATACATTGGCAGCATTAAAACTCCATGGAAGGATGGAGAGACAGCTTGAAAATGGAACAGATTCCAGTCATCAGTCATCTCTAAAAAACTGTCTATGAGTCAGATACAAAGAAGCCTTAAGAAACATTTGTCAGGACACAGAACTCTGCCGAGAAAGAAGATTCATAAGAGAAGGCAGAGCCATAGCAGGTGAACAAGGGCAGAGATTAATAAGAAAATATTAGGCCATTTAGAGGAAAGTAGGGAGCCCAATTTAGATTAGGACCTAGGGCCAAGCTAATTTGTATGAAGGGCACTTATGCAGTAGATAATCCAGTTTCTCATTAAATGCTTCACCATTAAAAGGGTAATTTTTCATGAGTACATCTTGAGCAAGGTCTCAGTTATATTAGTTAAGAAATAAATAACAGATATCGGAGCCATAAGGCTTTAATTCTATCTGAGGCACATACAATATAAAGGTGTTGGGAATAGGATCAGTCTTCATGCATTTTAGGTCACCATGAATCCCAGACTATGTTACTGAAAACACCACTGACCCTCTGCTTCAAGATGGGCAAGAGAAAGACCACACGTTTAAGGAAAATCACCCATATGGTCACTGTTATTGAGTTTTTAGTACAGTTACTGTGCCAAGGGTTTCACACGCAATTTCTCATTTAATCTTCACATTTGCTCTTGAGTTAGGCTCCATAATGAGTCCTCTTTTCAGAAGACAACACAAACACCCAAAGTCCACAGCATAACCTGAATGTTTAAATAACAGCTATATTGAGATACAACTCACATACTGTACAATTCACCATTTTAAAGTATAGAATCCAGTGGGTTTAGTATAGTCACAGAATTGTATAACCATCACCACTATCTAATTTTGGAACATTTTTGTCATCCCACAAAGAAGCCCTGTACCCATTAGCTGTCACTCCCTATCTTCCCATTCCCTCTGGTGCTAAGCAACCACTAATCTCCTCCCGTCTTTATACATTTGCCTATTCTAGACATTTATATAATTGTTATTTTATAATATACAATTTTTTGGGTTTGGTTTCTTTTACTTAGCAGCATGTTCTCAAGGTTCATCCATGTTATAGCATGTATCAGTAATGCTTTTTTTGCTGAATATTATTCTATTGTGTGGTTATACCACATTAGCTCATAGATCTTTGGGTTGTTTCCATTCTTCAGCTATTATGAATAATGCTGCTATGAACATTTGTGTACAAGTTTTTGTGTGGCTGTATATATTCAATTCTCTTAAAATTATTCCGAAGAAAGGAATTGTCGCATCATATGGTAACTCTATATTTAACTTTTTGGAGAACTGTCAATTTGTTTTTCCAAAGTGTCTGCACCATTTTACAACCCTCCTAGCAAAATATAAGGTTCCAATTTCTTTACCAGATGTTCTTCCCAACATCTGTTATTGTCTGTCTCTTTTACTTTAGCCATCCTAGTAGGTGTTAAGTGATATTTCATTGCAGCTTTGACTTGCATTTCCCTAAGGAGTAATGATGTTGAGCATCTTTTCATGTGCCTATTGTTCATTTGCATATCTTCTTTGGAGAAATATCTATTCAAATCCCAGAGCCTCAGTTTGAACCCAGGTCTTGTGTAAAATTTCATGGTCTTAACCATGAACCATAGGAACCATAGGAATCACTATGGGGCTTCCTATGACCTACCTCTGTGTTCTGCTACAGAATTTAGCCTCATTTTTTCGTGTCACAGCTACTTGAGTAGATGTCTTATGGATAAACTGGCAGACGTCTTACTCTTAAAGACAAGTAGTTCACAAGCACACATGCCCTTCTTATGCCTTATGTCATTTAATCTTCCAAGGTTACTGAAAACCACCACTGTTATTATTTTATGGATGAAGAAACTGGAGCCCAAGAGGTAACTAAAGTTACTTCTCATCCTGTCCTACTCCAAGGCTTGAGTTCTCCCACTGAGAGACAATAGGCCTTGATGGTCTAGAACATGAGTTCTGGATTCAGAGGACCTGAGTTCAAGCCCCAGCTCTCTGACCTACCTCCTTAGTTGTATAATCGTTGGTAAGTTCCTTTACATGTCTGCCACAGTGTCCTAAGCAGTTAAGTATAGATACTAATGGGTGCTCCCAGTATTAAAGAAATGACAAATAGCATACAAGACAGTGAGTGATTGGCAAACAGTAAGAGCTTAATCAACATTGGTCATTGTTATTTGGGTGATCATACTTTCAGTTTGTCTGCGACAGCCCCAGAAACTTTTGTACTGACACTGTTGTTACTAGCATCCCTCATTATTCTCAAAAGTATTCCAGTTTGGTTAAGAGACTGTGTGGTTACCCTAATTAATTATATGATCATCATTTGTATACTGTCCTGCCTCAGTGTTCTTCATGCTAGGCACTGTGCTAGCTTCCAGTGGTACATGGGTGAGCAAAAAGTGTCCTTTCTCCTGCCCAGAGGAAGCCACATTTCAAAAGGCGTCATATACAATTTCTCCACCCCTTGGCACTATATGACACTCACAGCTCTGGTCATATTTTGTTAAGCAATGTGTTTTCCTAAGGGGTGGAGAAACTGTATTTGGTAGGGAGATGATTAGGAAGAGCTACAGAGGAGAGATGGCATTTGAGTAAAGCCTTGTAAAAAAGGAGGGTTTCAAGAGGTAGGGAAGAAGGTGAGAAGCTTTCCAGATAAACAAAATGTACAAGGATATTTGGAGAACAGTGAGTAGTTGGCTTAGACTGTTTAGCAATCCTAATTATCTTCTGGAATCACCTTGGGAATTTTTTAAAAACACCACCCCAGAGCCTATACTGGTGGAGTGCACCTGCAATCCCAGCACTTTGAGAGGCCAAGGAGGGAGGATTGCTTGAGCCCAGCAGTTTGAAACCAGCCTGGGCAGCATAAGAAAACCCTGTCTCAAAAGAAATTTAAAAAACCCTGGCACCTTACAGATTTTGATTAGATGGGTCTGCGGTGAGCCAGGGCCAATTAATGTACTTGCAAAACACAGTACTAGAGGGCATGGCTAGAGCGATGCACTCAAAGGGCAGACAAATCATGAAGCATCTTGGAAGCCAAGTTAAAGCCTTTGAACATTGTTCTTAGACCACAAGGTCTATTAATGACCCAGGTTTGTTGTGAGGATTAGATTAAAAAGAACATTATAGCAACATGTGGGGAAGTATAAGGCTGTAATTAATTGATTCATTCATTCCTTTATTTGATATTTATTGAGTGTCTACTATATACGTGTTCTAAGGTCCTCCAGATGCTGCAGGAAACAAAACATATAAATATCCCTGTACTCAGGGAACTTATATCCTAGTGGGAAGTCAATGGAGTTTTGCTGTAATTTTCTAAGTTTAGTGTAATGAAGAATCCCCTGTAAAAACCACAACAGCAACAACAGGTTCCTAAATCCCTTCCAGTGAGATTCTGCACCAGCCAGAGGGACCAAGCAGATGGAATTGATTCAGAGTAATTCTCAAAGATCACTAGAGAACAGCAATGTAGAGAATCCCTTGTAAGATGATATTTCTCAGACTGGGGTCCTCAGAACAAAACTTTCCAAAGTTTCAATTTGGGGTTTTCAAATAGATAATAATCTCTTAAATATTTTTAAAAATTTAAATTTGTGAAGAAAAAAAGTTGTTAGTAATAATATATTTCAAAGATACTTTCATAGACTTCAACTCTGGTTTCTTAAAAACCTGAAAATTTCTTTTCTAATGTTTAATTTTTTTTTTTTTTTTTTTTTTTTGAGACACAGTCTCGCTCTATTGCCCAGGCTGGAGTGCAGTAGCTCGATCTCTGCTCACTGCAACCTCCACCTCCCAGGTTCAAGCGATTCTCCCGCCTCAGCCTCCTGGGTAGCTGGGGTTACAGGTGCCCGCCACCATGCCCGGCTGATTTTTGTATTTTTGGTAGAGATGAGGTTTCCCCATGTTGGCCAGGCTGGTCTCGAACTCCTAACCTCAAGTGATCTGCCTGCCTCGGCCTCCCGAAGTGCTGGCATTACAGGCATAAGCCACCATGCCGGGTGTCTTTTCTAATCTTTAAAAGGGATCTCCTTAAGTGTGAGAAATACTACTTGGTATCATTTGTGGCTGTCTGGGTGAGCATACCTCTGGCAGGTCAGGAGTGCCAGTGCGGTAGGGGAGGGTGCACCACATCCTTAACACTTTCCTACTTGGCTCAGAGGAAAGCAATCCTGTATCGAATGGTTTGAAGATTTCTGCTCTGATACACCTGCTTCACTTGGTTCCATAAACAAACTAATTGCCAACAACTAATAGGGAATGCTTTATCTGGGATCTCAATCCAAGGCTCTTCAAGTAATCCGAGAATTGAATTTTCAATGTAGCACTGATTTGAATTCCAAAGGAGGAAGATATAGGGGTTATGCAGCATCATAGAGTTGCCTGGAAACCAAGCCCCCTGAAAGAAAAGCAGTAACTGCCTGGAAAGAAAGAAGGAAAGAGGCCTGGATTCAGATGTTATCTCTGCTACTGTACCTTCACCTATGTGATGTCACTTGCCCTTGAGGTTCAATCTCCCCAGCTGCTCAATGAATGTTCATAGGGAAAAGATGGTTTCAAAAGTGTCTCCAAGTGATAATTGTATACGATGATATTTATGAATAGTTAATATATTTATAACTAATTTATTTATAACTAATATTTATAACTGTATGATGTACATTGGATATATCAGTTTATTGTTATAGCAACATTATGTGGTGGTTGTCCACATATGTTAAATCTAGGAACAGAACTGAGTTGGTAAGTGCTAAAGCTAGGATTTGAACCCAGGTCTTCATAAATCCACAGAACTTAGGTCTCCAGTTTTACAATCACATACCACTATTAGTAAAACATTTTTGAGCACGTAACTCTAAGATAGATATATTTCTGTATAAATTACATACATGTACTACTGATAATCTATATATTATTATTATCATTACTATTTTGAGGCAGAATCTCACTCTGTCATCCAGGCTGACGTGCAGTGGTATGATCTTAGCTCACTGCAATCTCTGCCTCCCGGGTTCGAGCGATTCTCGTGCCTCAGCCACCCGAATCACTGGGATTACAGGCGTACGCCACCATACCTGGCTAATTTTTGTATTTTTAGTGGAGATGGTGTTTCACCATGTTGGCCAGGCTGGTCTCGAACTCTTGGCTTCAAGTGATCTGCCTGCCTCGGCCTCCCTGAGTGCTGGGATTATAGGCATGAGCCACCGCACCCAGCCCCATATAGTATTATTAAAGCTTACTTTTTCTTAGAACTTTTTGGATTAAAATCAAACATAAATAGACATCTTATATTTTTCTCAGGTACCAGCAGATTATCTTGCATAACCCGGGGAGTACCTGTATCTCACAATGATTTTTTGCAGATCTCTCTGAATGAGACATAACAACTTGAAAAATCCTCAGGGAGTCACAGCAAACTAACAATCATAATGAGACATTTGGGTTTCTAAGAATCATCCATTTTGGTTTTTTTATTTTAATTTTTCTGGTTACATAGTAGGTATATGTATGGGGTTTTTTTTTTGTTTGTTTGTTTGTTTGTTTTTGAGACGGAGTCTTGCTCTGTCACTCAGGCTGGAGGGCAGTGGCGCAATCTCGGCTCACTGCAAACTCCACCTCCCAGGTTCACGCCATTCTCTTGCCTCAGCCTCCTGAGTAGCTGGGATTACAGGCGACCGCCACCACACCTGGCTAATTTTTTTGTATTTTTTAGTAGAGATGGGGTTTCACCGTGTTAGCCAGGATGGTCTCGATCTCCTGACCTTGTGATCCACCTGCCTCGGCCTTCCAAAGTGTTGGGATTACAGGCATGAGCCACCACCCCTGGCCGGTGTATGTATTTATGGGGTACACAACATGTTTTGATACAAACATGCAATGCATACTAATCACATCATGGAGAATGGAGTATCTATCTCTCAAGCATTTATCCTTTGTGTTACAAACAATCCAATTATGCTCTTTCAGTTATATTAAAATGTATGATTACATTATTATTGGCTATAGTCACCTTGTTGTGCTATCAAATAGTAGAACTTATTCTATTTTTTGTACCATTAGCCATCCCCACTGCAGCCCCCACTACCCTTCCCAGCCTCTAGTAACCATCCTTTTACTCTCCAGCTCTATGAATTCAATTGTTTTGATTTTTAGATCCCACAAATAAGTAAGAACATGCAATGTTTGTCTTTCTGTGCCTGGCTTATTTCACTTAACCTAATGATCTCCAGTTCCATCCATGTGGTTGCAAATGACAAGAGTCTCATCCTTTTTTATGACGGAATAGTACTCCATTATGTAAATGTAACATTTTCTTTATCCATTCATCTGTTGATGGACAACAAATAAGGTTGCTCACAGATCTTAGTTATTGTCAACAGTGCTGCAACAAACATGAGAGTGCAGATATCTCTTTGATATACTGATTTCCTTTCTTTTGGGTATATACCCAGCAGTGGGATTGCTAGATCATATTGTAGCTCTATTTCTAGTTTTTGAGGAACTTCCAAACTGTTCTCCATAGTGGTTGTACTAATTTATATTCTCACCAACAGTGTACAAGGGTTTCCTTTTCTCCACATCTTTGTCAGCATTTGTTATTACCTGTCTTTTGGATAGAAGCTATTTTAACTGGGGCGAGATGATATCTCATTGTAGTTTTGATTTGCATTTCTCTGATGATCAATGACATTGAGCACCTTTTCATATGCCTGTTTGCCATTTGAATGTCTTCTTTTGAGAAATGTCCATTCAAATCTTTGTCCAATTTTTGATCAGCTTACTAGATTTTTTCCTATGGAGTTGTTTGAGCTCCTTATATTTAATCCCTTTTCAGGGTGGTAGTTTGCAAATATTTTATCTCATTCTGTGGGTTATGTCTTTACTTTCCTGTGCTGTGCAGAAGCTTTTTAGCTTGATGTGATCCCATTTGTACATGGAAATTTTGCTTTCATTGCCTGTGCTTGTGGGTTACTGCCGAAGAAATTTTTGCCCAGACCCATGTCCTGCAGATTTTCTCCAATGTTTTCTTGTAGAAGTTTAATAGACTGAGGTCTTATATTTAAGTCTTTACCCATTTTGATTTGATCTGTGTATATGGCAAGAGAAAGGGTCTACTTTCATTCTTCTGCATATGGATATCCAATTTTCTCAGCACCATTTATTAGAGAGACTTTTTTTTCCCAAGTGTATATTCTTGGTAACTTTGTTGAAAATGAGTTCACTGTAGGTGTGTTGATTTGTTTCTGGGTGCTCTATTCTGTTCCATTGGTCTATGTGTCTATTTTTAGGCCAGTGCGGTGCTGTTTTGGTTACTATAGCTCTGTAGTATAATTTGAAGTCAGGTAATGTGATTCTTCCAGTTTTGTTTTTGTTTTTGTTTTTTTTTCTGCTTAGGATGGCTTTAGATAGTCTGAGTTTTTTGTGGTTCCATATAAATTTTAGGATTTTTTTTTCTATTTCTATGAGGAACGTTATTGGTATTTTGATAAGGATTGTATTGAATCTGGAGACTGTTTTGGGTAGTATGGACATTTTAATAATATTGATTCTTCCACCCTATGAACATGGAATATTTTTCCATTTTTAGTGTCCTCTTCAATTTCTTTCATCAGTGTTTTACAGTTTTCAATACAGAGATCTTTCTTTTTTTTTTTTTTTGGTTAATTCCTAGGTATTTCATTTTATTAGATTGCCTTTATTTCTTTTTCAGATTGTTCACTATTAGCATATAGAAATGCTACTGATTTTTGCATGTTGATTTTGTATCCTGCAACTTTACTGGTTTATCAGTTCTAACAGTTTTTTTGTGGAGTTGTTAGGTTTTTCCAAATAGAAGATCATATCATCTGCAAACAATGATAATTTGACTTCTTCCATCCCAATTTGGATGCCCTAAGAATCAACCATTTTGAATTTCATAATGGATCATGGGGAACCCTGTAGGCTGCTGTCTTTAATGTGTAGCAGGGCTGGGGTACACATATATATCACTTAAAAGAGTCTGGAGGCTTCCAGGAGTCACAGTAGATGTGCCTCCGCTTTCACCCTCTAATCCATGCCCCACACTGCTTCCAAAAAGATCCACACCAAGTGTCATCTCATCATGCACTATCTGACCAAAAATGAAAAATGTTATCCTCTTCCACCCAGCTGCCACAGGCTCTCCTCCCTCTTATTCTCTCACCTCATTTGTGCCCTCTTGCCCCCACCCTTAACTCCAGCCTTATGGGCTAGGCACCTCCATGCCCTTTGCCCTTGCTAGTTCCTCTTCTCCAACTGTCTCCTCTACACTTGAACTCTATAAGGGTAGGAACTGAAATTCATTTGACTGTGTCCTCTGAACCTAGCGTGATGCCAGAACAGAGCAGACCTGCGGTGTCCAGATCTGCTGAATAACTGAAAAAATGATTTAATTAATTTATTTATGCTAAAGTGGGTAATGGACTCCAGGAGTCAGGACCACTTGGGGGAGGCATCTAAGGGGTTATTAAAAACCCCTCCCATACAGATCTTATTTTATACAGTCCATAAGTATGATTCATTTAGTCCTCAAGGAATAAAATTCCTAATGGGATAAAATAAACATCACACTCATAGTCATTTTAATATTGGCTTTGCTTTATGCCATTAGAGAAGAGCATTTCTCAACCTCATCACAACCTGATCATCTCCTAACCGGGGGAATGGCTCTCCTCTGAATTTAAATCCAGCCGATTCTTCTGGGCACAGAGTAAATTCCCCATTTTCCACAGACCTCGAAGATTCTGTCAGGAAGTACACTAAGTAACTGTCTCAAAGCAGAAGCAGCAGAAGTCTCTGCCAATGTTGAGGTCCCAGAATGGGAGTCACCTTGCAGAAGCTTCAACAAAATCAAATGCCTCTGTCAGGAGTCAGGATCCGAAGGAGGAAGGCAATTAGCATTTTTTATGACACTGAAGCAGAGCCCACAGAGTCCACTGGAGTCGTAAATGGCCTCCCACTCCAGGCTGCGCTCTAAAGACCATTAATGGCCAAATAAAAGTTATTTCACATCCAAGACTATTATCTTATCTCTCCCACTCATCATAGATTATAATAAGCACAGCCAAGATAAGTATTTTTTTTTCCTAATGTGGTCATTCTGGCTGTGAATTCTTTTAACTTTTGACAGTTACAATATTTCCCTGTCTTGGAGGGGTCAACTCCAACATATTTCTTATATCAAGCTGAGTATTCACTTCTGTGCATTAGATACTTAAACATCTAAGGAGATGTCTTATCAGCGCAGACCACTATAATAAAATACCATAGACTGCATGGCTTAAACAACAGACATTTATTTCTCATGGTTCTGGAGGCTGAGCAGTCCAAGATCAAGTGCTGGAAGATTTGGTTGTTGGTGAGGGCCCCCTTCCTGGCTTGCAGATTGCCACTGTCTCACTGTGTGCTCAGAAGATCTCTTTTTGTGCATGCACTGAGAAAGAGAGAGAGAGAGAGAGAGAGAGAGAGAAAGCCCTGGCCTCCTTTCCTCTTCTTACAAAGCCACTAATCCCATCATGAATACTCTACTTTCATGATGTCATCTAAAGCTAATTATCTCCCAAAGACCCCACCTGCAAATATTATTACATTGGGAGTTAGGGCTTCAACATATTAATATTGGGGAGACACAAACATACGATCCATAATGGGGGCTAGAATTAGGAAGGAGATGTGAAAAGCTGAATGCTACCTGAGAAATGAGCATGCCTGTCCCATTCTCATAAATTGTTTTATTTAAACTTCACAACAACCTTGGAGGAAAGAACTGCAACACATTCAGAGAAGGAGGAAACGGAGGCACAGGGAAATGAAGTCATTGGTGCGAGGCCACGCTGCTAAGGAGGGCGTAGCTGCCTAACCCTTTGAGGTCGGAAGGCATCACATTTAAATCACGGTATGCTACTTCCTGTGTATAAGCAAGTTAAAGTTTCTGAGTGTTAGGCTCTTCATATGCAAAACATTGTGGTTACCTGTATTCCTCTGTAGAATAGTTACTAGGACCATAGGAATAATATATGTTATGCTCTTAGCACACTGCCTGGCACATGGAAGTCATTCAGTAAATATTTACTGCCTTCTTTCTCCCCAAGTAATATATTTTACATTAAGCATCAGTGGCCCAAAGCTAACCATAGCAAAGTTGTAGTGCATTGGAAGGAATGGTCCCAGCTGTTTGGGATTTTTTTGTTGTTGTTGCCTGGGAATAAGGGTGCAATTAAGAACAGGATGTTCCTTCCCGAAGGCAATAGGGAGATCACCTTGTAAATTATTAACACAGAGAGATTCTCCCTCCTTCTGCATATCTATCTGAATCAGAGGCTATCCATCCTGATGATAAGAAAATTTCGAAAGGTTGTTTTACTTTCCCCCTTGGCTGTCAAACATCATTCTGTCCATTGCTGAAAGAGCCCTATTGTCTGTTAGGCTATCCAATTTAAGAACAGATTGTGGGGGAATTTCAGGGCCCAGCAGACAGATAACTTATTTTACTCTAAATTCTATCTTGCAATTATCCAGGTGTTGATTTGCAATGGACAAATAATTATGTATGCTGGCTGTGTAGGAGAGAATGCTGATTTTATGTAATTAACTAGCTGGGTAGTGAGCAGAACAAGAGGAAAAACACACTTAGGGGGCTGTTAAAATGTGTTTTTATGAACATGGTTGCTGTCATTATTGCTAAAAGGTAAACTAATTAAAGAGCTAAAATAATATTCAACCTATGACTCATGCACACATTTTCTTTAAAAATGTTCTCTGGTACTTCTGAAAAGTGCCTTGCATAAAAGGCATCTGGAATCAATTTTCACGTTTCTGTAGAAAGTGAAGTGCTATGGTACCAGGCAGAGATTCTCATCTGAGAACCTGGGAATCTGAACTTTAAAGTTTGGCCAATGATTCTGAGGCAGAACCAGATCAGGAACCACTGAGTTATAAGACAGGACGCTTGTGGGACCTCATATGCATAACCCAATTCTTCTGCTCCAATAGTTGGTCCTTTTTGCATTTCTCTGGCAAAGGTCTACTAGTATTTATTTCAGGTTTTTTTTTTCTTCCTCTGGGTCTTTTATTGTATTTGAAAAATATATTTTAAGACTGTAGGACATTATTAATAAATTCTTAATAACAAAAGAAAATGATCATCAGCCACATTCTGTCTCTGCAAAAACCCTTAGACTATCTCCTAGCAGTGTCTCTTGAAGCACCATTTTCTAGTTTCTCTGAGGAAAAGACTAAAGAGATGATCATGCCAAATCAGTTAAGGGCATGCTTATATCCCTGGTGGTGGTTCCCACATGCAATGGCAAATTAAAGCAAGAAAAAGCCAGGCCCTACAATCTCCCCTTGGTAGACTGTAAGTTTATGAGGGCTAACATTTTCTTAAATTTGTTTTCTGTGTATCCCATACAACAAGAACAGTCATTGGCATACAGTGGGTACTTAATATTTGCTGAATAAATAAATATATATCAAAAGGGAAATTGCTGTTTCTGTACACAGAGTTTCCAACGCCACCCTGCCACCCCCAACACACATATGCATAGTGTCTTAGAACATTGGAAAACCAAGTTTAAATTTCAGTCACAGGGCCCAAAGGTCTCAGGTACTATTAATCAGGCTCAGCAGTTCTATGACTCCCAGCAATTTTTCCAGACAAAGGAAAGCCAGGAATCATAGAAAAATGGCCAATAATATCTTCACGTACAAGGTAGAAGCAGCAAGACAAAAAAAAAAAAAAAAAAAAAGGAAAAACCTCTTGGTTTTAAGACGGTAAAGACAGCTATAATCATCAGTTGCTGAGTCTTTCTGACGTCCTCCCATGAAGGCTTGAGGAGCGTAGCCTATCCTGCTCATCTGGGCAAATCAAGGAGTGACTAGTCTGACTTTAAATCTGCAGCTTTATTTTTACACACTTGCTTACCCACAGCCTAAGGATGGCGTGACAGCATTTGCTTCTTAGATTTTCTCATCAGTGGGCTTGTGTCTTTTTCCTGGTGCCCAAGAAACAAAGCAGGTTTTTTGGTATGTGTTGCCATTAAGAGTAAAGTATTACACTAGGTATATAATAGTTTATTTCATGTTGATACCACTCTGCAAGGCAGGCACAGAATAGGCTTTAAACAATATGTAAGTTCTTTTTCATTGTCCTTTTGTTCCTCACAGCCACCTAGCATGACATGCATTATTAATCCCTTCTTATAGTTGAGGAAATTGAGACTCCAGGAGATAAAGACTGGCCCAAGTTCACAGAGCTAGCAAAGGCAGGGGCAGGTGTGCTAAAAAAGAAAGGCATGTAAAGAAAAGAATGCTGAAAGGAAGAGAATCCAAAGCTTGAGGCTGGGTAAGAAATAGGACTGCATGAGACAGGGAAAGGCCAGATCTGAATCCACAGTCATGATATTTATTTGTGCTTCTGTCATTTGTAACCAAAGGGTCCTATTTTGGTTGTGGTGCTGCACGGATGAAGGCAAGGCTGAATGATGCACATGAAATACAGCAGGAAAGCTGGATCTACAGTCAAAGGTGAAGAGGACCAGGGTAATGAATGAGAAAGGACAGATACCAGGAGAAACCTCCATTCTCATCTGGTGTTGCCATTCAGGATCTTCTTGGTCAAGAGCAAGTCACTTCATCTCACTACAATTGAGGAAATAATGCTTACCTTGCAGGATGATTGTCGGAACTGCCTGCAATCATATCCCTCCTCCTAGTAGCAGCATCCAATCAATAACTGGTTGATTAGATGGGGCTGGGTATAAACACCCAGGCCCCATGTCTCAGTTTGAGACAATCCTGAAGGAAAACTCCCACGGGATAGTGGGAGCAGGTGACGCCTTTGCTGCAACTGCATCACGGTTCAACTCTTCCCTCTGCCAGAGCCTACCACCTTCACTCCTCCAGCGGTTCTGATTCAGAGGACATTCCCTTATTGGGAATTTGCTGTAGTGTCCTACAGCAAATCTTTGTCTCAGTCACTGGTTTCCTAGGGACTCCACCAAAGACAGTACAAAATCAATGCATTTGGGGGAGAGTCTGAAAGAGTCTTGATATGGAGAGACAAGCCAGAAAGTTCGTGCAATAATCCAAGAATGACAGGCGTGGTGCTCAGAGGCAGCACCGAGTGCTCAGATAATGTAAACTAATACTGATCAGATTCCAAGAGGCTAAGCCTAATCAAAAGAGAACAACCAGAGCTAAAACTTTTCCTACCCAAGGCAACTCAAAGTCCCCCGGCAAAACTGTTGCGTGTTTGCCAGCCATCCTGGGCAGCTGGGCTGCACCTGTAAGACAGAGCAGGGTGATCACCCATCCAAAGGCAGCCTCACTACCACCAGAACCAGGAGATGCAGTGAAATTTGCCTTTCTAAAGTTCACAACTTGCTTCCCTTTGGCTAATACACATAATAACAGGTACCAGGCACTGACAAAGTCGTATTAGCTGATGAGGAGTGAATATGACCTTTTTTCCAAATAAAAAATAACAAATGTATTTTTAAAATTTTTGTATTTCAGTTCTTTTAAACAAGTGCTTTTTATTTTTTTAACTTTCTAATTACAAAGGGAAACATGTTCAAGACTTAACATTTGGAAAGTGTAGAAGAGAAAAAGGAGAGGAAAGCCACCCATAACACCACCCAGGTACATTTATGGTTGCATTCAAGTGTATACTCTTCCAAGCTTTTCCCTAAGTGCATACACACGCAAACACCCATTCTTCAAAAAAAAAAAAAAAGTTCATACTATAAATCTGTGTCTTGCTTTTTTCATCTGGCAGCGTAAATTATATATGTTTTCCCATATTGATATTTTTGTGACATGATTCTTATTGGCTGTGCAATAGCCCATCCTACAGATGTATCACAATTTATTTAAGCAGTCCCCTATAATTGGATAGTTAAGATGTTTCCAATGAAAACAGAATAAAGAAAACAATATTGAGGATTCTTACTAAAGGCAGTGAAAAGATGCATTTTCCCTGCGAGAATGCCTCCTTGGAGCCTTTCACGCTTATCAGAGTTGTTGCTTCATCATCTTCCCCTCCTTTCTTCTGCACCAGAAAAGTGTGGGCTCAAAATAGACAAATGTGTGAAAACAAATGCAAAATTTACCTCTCTGGTTGTCTTGCTTTGGGAGAAGCACAGAAGGGCAAAGGAGGAGTGTTTGTATAATTTGGATTACAAAAGAATGCCCGTAAGCTCTGGACACATTGCCCATGGAAGCCTGAGGGACCAATTGCAAAGAAGGAGGAAGCAGGAGAATTGGATTTACTCAGTGAGTCTGAGGTCATAGGCAGTGCAGAACCCCTAACTTAGAGCTCTCACCCAATGTGTGTTCACACTAGGCATTTGAAGGCTTGCTCTTGGACCTAGACAGAGGTTAATTAAACCACAAATGAACAAGAGTTTCTATTTGCACGTGCAACCTGCAATTGGCCACAAACTTTCTTCTGTAGCAGCTACAACTTCCATGGGGTCACCTCCATTAGAAAAAATCCAAGGGATTTAAGTGGGTGTCTCTGCCAGCAACTTGTTTGCGGAGTATTTTTTGTAAAGGAGATTATTTTGGTCTTGGTATATTCTGGTGTGAACAACTCTTATGTTTTATCTTCCATCTGCCTTCTAAACAAGAGTGCTGTGTTATACTATTGACTGACTAAATTATTTCTTTAGAGTACAAAGGGGTATTTGTGATGAAGAAAACAGAGAGTGCAAATCAATTATTTACTGAGAAGGCTGCAATATAAATTACATTTGATTAAACTCAGAGATAAATCTCAGTGATAGAGGGTTTAAGTAGAATGTGCTGGAAGAGACAGTGACTAAGTGTCCCCACCCGACAGTTGTTCCTAATGAATGCAAGGGCACAGGCCTCAGCCCTGACTCCCTGGATTTCTATCATGGTCAGCCTAATATTCATTCATTCCACCAACATGTACTGAATGCCCACTACGTGCCAAGCACTGGCCCAAGTCCCAGGGCACAGTCATGAACCAGAGGGAGGAAGCTCCCGCTCTCCTAGAGCTGCTGATCTGAGAGGGGGAAGGAAGATAATGAGGAAGTAAATAAATAATGAACAAGATCATTCCAGATAGGGATAAGTGTTATGAAGGGGATAAAATAGTCTGATGAAACAAGGAGTGACTGGGAAAGGGTGGGGAACAATTAATTTAGACAGGCTGGTCCATGAAGGCATTTCTGTAGAAATGACATTTGAAAGGAGATGTGAACAAGAAAAGGGCAGTCATGCCAGGAGGGAATGTGTTTGGCCTGTTTATAAAACAGAAAGGAGCTAGTATGATCACAGCAGAGCAAGCAAGGGGAAGGGGGTTAGAGGTGGAAGTCAGGAGGGAGGCAGGGCTCCCTCGTGTGCTGCTTTGTGAGGCAAGGTAAGGAGGGCAGGTTTGGTTCTGAGTGCAATGGAAAGCCACGCTGGTGGTGGGGGCGGCGGTACCTTATGCAGGGGCATGACTCACATTTTGTAAAGATTTTTCTGAATGCTCTGTGGAAAGGGGGAGAAGTAGAAGCAGGGGCTAATAATCCAGATGAGTGACGAGACAAGGATGACAGCACTAGATAAGAAATGGGCTGAATCAAAAAATATGCTGGAGGAAGAGCAGAAAGGGATTATTTTTAGATTGTGGAAGAGACAGGAAAAGGGAAGAACAAGTGTAACTCTGGGTTTTGGCTTGAGCACCTTAGTGGAAGGCAGGGTCACTTCCTAATACAAAGGCATCAAAAGCCAAGAGAACCTGGTGCCTTAATATTCCATTGAAGGCCTGTCAAATTCTGGTTGTGTGGAGAGTATGCAGGATTCAGAGCAGAGAGAGCAATTTCCAAATGCCTGCTCTGCCAGTTTGGGTCCAGTCTTGATTAAGTTTCAGTGCCTGGAACTGTAACCTTGGGCAGTCACATTCTCTGGGAACTTCATTTCCTCATTTATCATATGGAAGAGACAATATGAGGTTTGAGGTCTCGGAATGAAATGAGGACAAGGGAAAGTGCCTGGCCTGTCTGGTGGATAGACACTCCATAAATATGAGTTCCTTTCCTTTCAGTTTAAATTTAGTGCCAAATTTCAGATTGAACTATGTCAATGCTGAAAAACCATGGCTGCTGCTTCTTAGCACAGATATGACCATATAAAAGCACCACAGAATTTTGGGGATTTGTTTATTTCTCAACTGATTTATTATTTTTAAAATTGCTTCTATCTCACTGACTTCATGAGAGCTGGGACTTGTCTCATTCATCAAGAGTAGACACCTTTTGAGATACCCTCCAGATCTTGGTGATTGAACCACCAGCTGACCCTCCCATCCAGCAATAGAACCACAGTGACCATGTTTATACAGCATGACTTTACCTGGAGATGGTGACACCAATCCAAGCTGTGTTGATTAGGGACAGCCTTTTCCTGGGGAATTGGGTATTCAAGCAGAGAGAGGAGTCAATCTCACCTAGTGACCAGCATCGTAACATGTAAATGTAGAATTCTGAGTAGTCATCTTTTCCTGCCATTGGCCTGGCTAAGAGGAAGCCAATCTTATGAAAAGGCAAAGAGAAAGGATGTTCTGAAAGAAGAAGTGACCACAGAGAGAAAGCACTGCTGGGGCTCTTGCTGATTCCAAATTCCTGGGTCATCTTTGCAGAGGCTCTGCTTACTCATTCCCTTCCTTGGGTTCTGTGAGACACCTCTGGTTCCTTATAATATGCCCTCCTATTACAGTCAGGTCTACTCAGGTTGATTTGTTACTTGCAACTAGAAAACTTTCACTAATACCAGACATGAGTTTCTGTATATCTGGTGGCAGGGAGACAGTTACTCTGTACTTGCTGAAGGGAAGGGATGGAGACAGTCTCACCACAGTTGGCTGCCCCAGGGACCCTTGGTTTACCCTAATTCTCCCTCCTTAGCTTTCCAACTGCAATACAGCCATAAAAAGAGAAAGTTTCGGTTGGATGATCTTTCCCCTTCTTTCATCCCCAGACCTCAAATTGCCGCATTTTGTAGTTCATTCCCCAACATGGCTTAGCATTTAATTAATTTAATATGTAACAGCCAATTATCTCCTAAACAACTTTTTTTGTCGCCTTTCTGCAAACAAAAGAAAAAATAGGTTTTTTTTTTAATCAGATAACAAAAGCATGAAAACCTACACAGCCTTGCTAATTTCAAAAAAGTACCTCCCTTCCAAAGAGCTCAATATGGTCTATAAACATGATCTTAATACTTCTTAAACCATGGCAGCAAATTGCCTGGAAGAAAAATGTGACAAATTTTGATAATGAGCAGTAATAGGATAAAACAATCAATAGAAAACAGAAATAAGTGTTAAATCCCATTTAGTTTAATTCAGTCAACATTTTGTGAGCATCTTTTATGTGACTGCCATTGTGCAAGGAGCTGGGGCTGCCATTTATTAAACATCTATTGTGTTCCAGATACAGTGATAAACATTTTCACATACATTACTTTTCATTTAGCCTGAAGAAAAATTTCAACTGCCCTAAGAGGTAGTATGATCTCAATTTATGCAGAGGAGGAAATAGGCTTTTTGAGATCAAGAAACTTGCCCAGAGTTCACATAGCCAATAAGGAGATGTGATTCATCCAGAATTCACCCCAGCTATGTGTGTTTCCACATCTGTTTGCTTTCCACTCTACCTCTCTTTTCTCCCTGTGGAGATAAGTAAGATAAAATTTCCTCCTTTAAGAAGTCCCCAGTCTACTGGAAGAAACACAGGTTAAGATGAAATGTAAATAGAGGTGCCACCAATTTGCAAAGGAAGCACCGAGGAAGAGTTAGACATTCTGATGGATGGGTCAGGGCTGGCTGCATGAATCAGGCAGCATTTCAGTGGAGGACTAAGGGATGCTAAGGACTCCAGAACAAATCTTTTAAAGGAATCCTAACAAATGGAAATAATCATTATTGCATATTTACTCAGTAAGGTCCAAGTAGGTGGTAATAAACATCATAATGGAGAAGCAATTATGCTATGTTTATGCCATCAATAGCCCTATGAGGTAGGTATTGTTATTTTTTTAATTTGGTGGATGAGGAGTTAAAAAAGCTTACAATAGACAGGTAACTTCTTCCATATCATGCAACCTTCATTTGGCTGCCAATTAATTCAAATCCAGCTCTCCTTGACTCCAAATAATGTATTTTCCCTACTAGACCATGTCTTGCAAAGAATTGAAAAACAAAAAAGAAGAAGAAAAGAGAGATACAAATTATAGGTGCACTAAATTATAAGGCCTTTGTATAACCTCGAGGAATTTACAATCAAGTCAGAGTAGTAACACATAAACCTTTGAAAACTGAAACAAGTAATCAAGGTAGAAAAACAAGTTCAGAACAATAGAAGTCATGGCCCAGGTCAGCCCAGGAATAACTAGCATATATATTATACTGGGCAGTATCATAGGGGTTTGGAGAAAGAAAAGATGACTTTGAACCAGGGTTGTCTGGGAAAGTTTTGAGGGAGAGGTGGTATTGAAGTCAGGTCTCAAATAATACGCACAATTTATCTGAGTGTGAGGAGATGAGAGGACCATTCCCAACTAGGGTTAAAGGCAAATTCAAGGCCAGAAAAGCTGTTGTAAAAGACCTTACATCTAACTCTGCACAGTAGTGACTATGCCACATTATTGGGCACCCATCATAAGTCAGGAATGGTGCCCATGAGCAGAAAAGAAACTCAAAGAGAGGCATCAGTTGTCCAAGTCAGACAGCCAGGAAGAAGGGGAGCTGCTTTCAAATGTGCCTGTCTGACTCCAAAGTTCATAGTCTCTCCACCATGCTCCACCACCTGTGCAGTTCAGGCTCAGATTTTGGAGAAATTTGAGTGCCAGCTCAGATTTCTCCATTCATATTAAGTATGTCTTTGTTCAGGAACATTACATTATTACATAGTCATAACTGCATTACAGAGAAATTCACTCTGGTTGAAGTGAGGGAAATTGAGGCTGGGAATATAAGTCTCTCACCCACTCTTTTAGGAAAAGTTATCAATAAGAAGTGAAAAATATCAAAGCAACTTGATAGTCTACAAATTAAATAATTTGGTTCCATAATCATTACAAACGAGACAGCCACAGCAAGACCACTATGGAGGGTTGATGACATGGGATATGCTCTCAGGAAGGTAAAGTCATCAAGGAATTATTTACTCCAATAGTTCTTTCTTCCATCTCACTCTTTAGTCTCTGCATGCAACTGGACACTTTACTGCCCCCTCCTTCTTAGAAGAGTCACCCCTTGTATGCTTCTACGACTATCTTGGTTCTCCCTCTTTCTTGACTCATCCTTTGCACACTGTTTCTTCTAGATCCTTAATGGAGCATTCTCTTGTGGTGTGTCCAGGGTCTTTCCTCACTTGACAATCTCACACTCTCTCAGATGCTGTCCAAGTCCACATATTTACCTCCAGCTCCTTTCCTGAGCTCTACATCCACCGTTTAATCTGCCTTCTAATGCTCACATCTGAATGTTTTACAACGGCCAGATTTAATCTGTCCAGAACTGAGATTACCAATTTCTCCTTTACCCAAACCAGTTTTTCCCACTCAAGGCTCAGTTCCACTGCCACCTCCCCTGTGTAGCCTTACCCTGCCAAGTTAAAGTGTAGTCACCGTAATCTAATAACTCATTTGTGGCAACATTAGCCACAGCACTCAGCATATTGTGCAGTGACTTGCAGGTCTGGTATACCTGTTGTAATTCTTAGCATTGTTAAATCTCCAGTGTCCAGCAAAATATCCAGCATAATGTAGGTAACATTTGTCCAGTGAATGAAGGTCACAGGCAGTCTACACTTTGTCCAGGCTAGAAACACTGGAGAGACTTTTGATTTCTTCTTTTCCTTAAAATCCCCCTAGCAGAGATTGTAAAAGTTGCAGATAATATTTCTAAAATGTCGTAACAGTCACCACACTCATATCTCCCCTAGATAATTATATGGTCTACTGGTCTACCTGTTTACAATTCCATCTTCCTCCAATCCATCTGATTGAAAATGACAAGATTACTCTTCAGAGAGTGTATTCTTACGTCATTCCATTATTCAAAATGAAATGTCAGTGGTTTCTCACTTCCCTTCAAACCCAATAAAATGAAAACTTCTGATCAATTTTTAAAAATATTTCATCACATAGTTATTGTACATCTACTAGTAAGCAACAGAGAGATGGAGGTGAACCCAATAGATAAATTCCCTGCTCTTGTGGAGATCACAGTCTTTCCCATTGGAATGACACCTCATTTCTTTATCCTTACTCCCATTTTCCCCTGCAAATGCTTTTTGCTTCAGCCAAATGAAGCCCAAGTCCCAGAGTACATCCCATATGTCTTCACATCTGTGAATTTTTCTGTACCATTTCCTCTGTCAAGAACAAGAGCTCCCCTTATCCTGTCTGCCAGGTCACCTCTGTACCTGTCACCTTCCCTTTCCCTGGTCTTGAGATTTTTTGGTTGTCTCGCCTCCCAGTTCACCCTTAAGTAATAAATGTAGTTCCTCCCCAAATGCGATTTTTCCCTTGATCTCCCTTTCACAATCTATCAATTCTCAGGCTTTACCAAATGCCCCTTTCTCTTTAGTTCATATTGAACAGTTTCTTAAGAAATAGAGAGAAATCAGCTGGGTGCAGTGATTCACACCTGTAATCTCAGCACTTTGGGAAGCCAAGGCAAGAGGATCATTTGAGGGCAGGAGTTTGAGACCAGCCTGGGCAAAATAGCGCAACTCTCTCTCTACAAAAAATTTAAAAAATTAGCAAGGCATGGTGGCATGTGCCATAGTCCCAGCTACTTAGGAGGCTGAGGCAGGAGGATCACTTAGGTACAGAAGTTTGAGGCTGCAGTGAGCTATAATCATGCCACTGCACTCCAGCCTGGGCAACAGAGTGGGACCCTGCCTCAAATAAATAAATAAGTAAATAAACATTTAAAAATAATAGAATAAAGACAAATAATTAAACTGAAATAGAAACACAAATGTTACACCATAGAAACTGATATACAAAACAACTTTTTCTAAACACAACTAAAATCTTGTCACCGACTGAGTTGTCTGACAACCTTAACAGGTAGATGTATCCCTTAGGAAGTTATAGAGAAACCCACTCTTCAACAATCTCTTATTATTATCTTTACTCATATTTACAGAACACTTGCAAGGGCCAGGATTTGTGCTAAATATTTTGCAAGCATCACCTCATTTATTTCTCTCAGTGATCCCATAATGTAGTCACTGTTATTATCTCTACTTTAAAGATGAGGAAACCAAGGCTTGAAGAGGTAAAGAGACTTGACCAAGGTTACATAGCCAACGGGAATTTATCTGACCCCAAGAAATGTCCTTTTTAACCATTAACAAGATACTGTTGACAAAGATTCTTTGCTTAGCCATGCTTTCATCAGGCCTCTGAAACTTCTCTTAGACCCTTCTGTGTACTTCCTCATAACATCCAATTGTAGCAAAAGAACCCTGCAAAAGTCAGTTTAGCCAGAACCCCCAATCCTCAATATCTGATCATCCTCAATAACTAATCAGGCTCCTTATCCTCCACCATCCCCAGGTGGTATCTGGCTTCCCTGGCCTGTCTTCAGCAAGAATCCTTTTAGGTGGTTAAGTCAGAGTCTCCTTTTCCCCTGATGTTTCCTCTTAGTAATTTTCTATTAACTGACTCCTACCCTGCTCCTCAGCCATAAATTCCTTCTTGCCCATGCTATATTTAAAGGCGAGCCCAATCTCTCTCCCCAACTGCAAGACGCCACTGCAGTTGTCCTTATATCTGTGATGATTCTGAGTAAAGTCTGCCTTACCATCTTACCATGCCTTTTTCTTTTTCTTTCTTTCTTTCTTTTTTTTTTTTTTAAGACAGAGTCTCACTCTGTCACCCAGGCTGGAGTGCAGTGGTGTGAACTCGGCTCCCTGCAACCTCTGCATCCCAGGTTCAAGCGATTCTCCTGCTTCAGCCTCCTGAGTAGCTGGGCTTACAGGTGCATGCCACCACACCTGGCTAATTTTTTCACATTTTTGGTAGAGACAAGATTTCACCATGTTTGCCAGGCTGATCTCGAACTCTTGACCCCAAGTGATCCAACTGCCTCGGCCTTCCAAAGTGCTGGGATTACAGGTGTGAGCCACCATGCCCAGCCCTTACCATGCTTTACAAGTATCATTAAATAATTTTTTCCTTTAACACTGCCTGCTTGCAATATGTGATTAATGAACATTACATACTTTGCAAAGTGTTTGGCACATAATAAGTGTTTAATAAATGTGACACATAAGAGATGGAGGGAGAGAAAAGAGGGTGACAGGTAGGCACACAAGGGCAAGGCATATTCACAAACACATTGCAAATAATCCTGGTAGCAGACCTGTCAGGTACTTACTATTAACCTGCTTTATAAATAAAGAAACTGAGATTCAGGGAGGTGCAGGGGCTTTGAGAAGGTTTCCCAGCTAGAAGCTTGGCAGGTGCAGGATTGGAATGCAGGTCTCTGAGTCCAACGTCCGTGCTCTCTGATATGGCTCCATTGTCCCTTTTCTCTCTCAACCCTATGCACACCTTATGTTCTTTTTATTCCTGAAATGTCTAGGAAAACAAAAGGGATCATTCTCTTCCCTGAAAGGCTGATACAGATGTGAGTTTTGGAGGGGTCAGGGGTTGGCTACTCTTGCTCGCGGTATCTGCGTGGAGATCACCCACAGGTGTGAGGCTTTTGATACTTCAAAAATCCAATCTCTGCTGGAATTTTGCAACCTGCAGGTGGCTTGCTCTGCAGGGTCCTGGCTCCCTCACTGCTGCCTAGAACACTTGAAGGAGTGGAGATCCCAGGTCCTTAGATCAAGGCAAAGAGTTCGATACGGCTTGGTAGAAAAGAGAAAGCTGTATTTTGTGCTGTGGCTGGAAGAATCTCCCCAGAGTCAATGGATGCAGTGCTGCCAGTTCCCAGAGTTGGAATTTCTTTACAATAAAGCTGCTGACAGTAGCAATACTGGTGCTATTGTCTAGCCAGGTGGAGGTTTTTCCATGTAACATCAACAGAAAGCAAAGCTGTATCAAATAGGGCCAAATTCAAGAAGATGCCAGTGAAGCACTAGGGCACAGCCTTGATCACAAACCCCAAAGGAATACTACTTTAAATTTTAAAACTGCTCAATTAATATGAATAAGTGAGGTGGTTTGTGTTTGCTTAGTACAATGCAAATCACTGAGGATGTTTGCAGGAAACCTGTTCTCCTTGATAACTCCTGCTGTCTCTGCAACACCTGCAAAGATCTTTCCCTGCTAGAGGAGAAACAAGTGGCCTAGAAGAAAAGAGTTCCTCTTTTCCCAACTATCTGGGACACTTTAAATAATGTTGTTTCAAAATGACAAGAATGGCGACATGTTTATATCTGCTGTTCCTTTTTGGGTTGGCCTCATGAGGCAGTTCTTACTGTCAAATCTTCCACAGCAGGATGTGTGCACAGAAGATTACTGCAGGCACTACCCAGAGGATTAAAAAAATACATATTACATATCATAGGAAAACAGGACAGCTCTTCTATGTTCTCCGTAGAGGGTCAGAAATAGGATGTGTTATACACCTAGGTTTATGTCTGCACAGTTTATGTCCTGCAGCATGCTGATTTGAATATATTTAAAGGAAACAAGAAGGAGTTATGTGGTGGGAGAAAGGTAAAGAAATAAAATTAAGTGACAGGTGTATATTAGTTTGCTAGGGCTGCAGTAATAAGGAACCATGAATTGAGTGGCTTAAAACATCAGAAATGTATTGTCTCATGGTTCTGGAGGCTAGAAGTTCAAGATCAAGTTGCCGGCAGGGTTGGGCCCTTCTAAAGACTGGGAGCGACACTGTTTCATGCCTCTCCCCTAGCTTCTGATGGGTAGCTGGCAATCTTGGCATCTTCTGGCTTGTAGACACATTATCCTGATCTCTGCTATTATCTTCACATGAAGTTCTCATGATGTTCTCCCTGTGTGTCTATCTGTGTGTCCAAATTTCACCTATTTATGAGGACACCAGTCATAGTGAAGTCACTATGACCTCGTCTTAACTCATTAAATTTGCAATGTTCTATTTCCAAATAAGGTCACATTCTGAGGTACAGGGAGTTAGGACTTCAACATATGAATGAGGACTGGGGGGTAGCACAATGCAACCCATGCCACAGGTGCTTTATTCATGTTAGCTCATTTAATCTACAAAACAATTCCATAAGAAAGAAGACCATGTTTCTCTTCTTAGTGATAAAGAAGTGGAAGCTCAGTAAGGTGAAATGATTTGGCCAAATGGCATTGTCTTAGTCTATTTGCATTGCTATGAAGAAATGTCTGAGGCTGGGTAATTTATAAGGAAAAGAGGTTTATTTGGCTCATGGTTCTGCAGGCTGTAGATAGACTGAAGCATAGACAGCATCTGTTTTCTGGTGAGAGCCTTGAGCTTCTTCTACACATGGTGTAAGGTGAGGGAGGGCCAGCGTGTTCAGAGATCACATGATGAGAAAGAAAGGAAGCGATCAGGATTGGGAGGTGCCAGGCTCTTTTTAACAACCAGCTCTCTTGGGAACTAATGGAATGAGAACTCATTACCACAAGGACAGTATGAAGCCATTCTCAAGGAATCTGCCCCATGACCCAAACATCTCCCATTAGGCCCCACCTCCAACACTGGGGATCAACTTTCAACAGGAGATTTGGAGGGGTCAAACATCCAAGTTATAGCATGCATAGACAGCAAGGATGGAGCTAACATTTCAGCCTGTATTTAATCACCCAGTCCATGCCCTTTCCACTACATACTGCTAACCTGAACTATCAAGGCCATAGTAAAATGCTTGGGTGCCTAGTCTACCTGTTGCCACTGACAACAATTATGAAGTATTAGTCCTTCATAATATAAAGGTTCTTCTGAAGCTCCAAGCATCAGTAAAGCAGGACTGTATGTCACAGGTATAGTGATCAGAGGTGCCACACCCTGGGTACCAGCTACTTACCCCCAAAGCAGTGTGAATACCAAGTAAGGATGGTATTAAAGCCAGCAACAGCTTCCAGTTCAAGAGATTCTAAATGCCAGAGAAAGAAGCAGATGAGGGAGAAAAATGGAGGTTGAGCATCCCTAATCCAAAATGTTCCAAAATCTGAAACTCTTTGCACACCAACATGACATCACAAGTGGAAAATTCCACATCTGAACTCATGTGATGGGTCGTAGTCAAAACATAGTCAAAACTTGGTTTCATGCACAAAATTATTAAAAATATGGTATAATATTATCCTCAGGCTATGTGTGTAAGTTATTATATGAAACATAAATTTCATGTTTAGACTTGGGTGCCAGTCACAAAATATCTCCTATGTATATGCAAATATTCCAAAATCCAAAAACATCTGAAACCCGAAACACTGCTAGTCCCAAGTATTTTAGATAAGGGATACTCAACCTTTACATTCTACAGCTAGCACTAGAGAGCTTTCTTAAATTAAGGCAAGCTTAATCGGGAAACAAAAATGGTCTTTCTCTCAAACATTTCATATAAGACATTTTCTTTTGTTACTTGGCATAGGGCCCAAATAGCATTTCACCTTTTAGATATGGTTTAGATAAAGAGGATTTGATTCTTATTAACAGAGTTCCCAGCAATTAGAGAGTACATTTTTTTTTTCACCAAGAAGGAAAAATTACAATAATTTCATTCCTTGCAGGGGGCTATGGAGTTCTTAATTGTTTGATTTGTAAGTCTGAAATTTCATGGGATTTCCCAATTAAATATCTAATTTATCTTTTATATTTAAAATGAACAAGGTATGATCACTGCCCTTATGAAGTCCCTGGATTGGAATTATGCTTGGTTACTTCTGCAAGCATCCTCTTGCCTGGCAGGAAACAGCTACATGAAATTTGATAAACTGATCTTAGCTAGAAGCAGGATAGAAGGAAACAAAAGGAAGGAAATTCCTAGAGTGGGAGCTGGAGAAAACTGGTCTGATTTAGAACTTCTTGCCCCACAATTCCTATCAGTATTCCATCACTGGCCTTCCAGACTTGCTATCTGTATTGGTATTTCATGACTTACCCCACCCTCTCTACAACCATTCCATAATATCTGCTCTGGGCATTCCAATACCAGATACAGACCTGGCCCAGGATTGTCCTGCTGTCCCCTAGAAGTTATGCCAATCCTTGACTGCAATAAATTTAAATGCATTTTCAGAAGGACTACCAGGTGCTAAGCAATATAGAAAAGAGAACAAAATGATTATAATATGCCCTTTATTCCCAGCAGGCTCATAATCTAGTAGAAAAACTAGAGATTTAAACCAATCATAACAATCCAACAATAATGTATTGATTGGATTGACAGGGTGAAACAAGAAGAACAGATTAAGTTATAATTTTCTGAGATCCTGCTTTGTACTCATCACTTTTTAAAATACCAGTCACTTTATTTATATGCTTTACTTTACTGCCTTGAGTCCTCTGAACAGCTCTGTAGGTGAAGTACAGGAGAAGGTCTGTTAGGCTCACCACTGCTTTGGATTGACCCCCACTCTTCTTTCTCACTATCTGATGCTGGCTCTACTCCGAACAGGAATGCCAGGAAGGCTACTTGATTTCTGTTTCAATCAAAAACCTATGTTAGACGCTTACTAAGAATCTCATACACTTCTGTTCCCAAATTTGTTTATGATAATTGTACTAGTTGGGATAGTATATAATTAGTTAGGTATGTTGTAAGTCAGGGAAACATGAGTACAGAAATAAAGGAAGTTATTTCTATGAAAAATGAAGTTCAAGTTCAATATTTAAAAATAATTTTAAAAGGGTAACTTGTTAAAACAAAATGCTACTCTCCATGACTCCCCCAACAGAGCACACGGACTCAGAAGGACGCGACATTTTGGTTACTTTCCAAGTGCTTTAAGATCCTTACTCCACTTTAAAGAAATCAAAACTGGAAATCAAAGAATATATGTTTTATGCTTATACACTTCATTACCAAGAGGCAGCACTCCAATTAGCAAACTGTATTCCAATGTCAAGAAAAGTCCTTATGCTAACTTGTGATAAAAAGATCTATAACTGGATGTACATTTATATTTCCAGTTGAAATAAAATTTAAAGAAAGGCAGGGTTTTTTTTTATTATTTCAGACTTTAAATTTTTTTTTTTTTTTTGAGTACCTGACAAACTACAGGTTCCAATCTTCTCTGATAAGTGCTATTAGCAGGAAGATTTCTCTGTTGGGTTAACATACTATCAGCTAAGGAACTCTGGGGGAGCCTTCCTGCAAAGTAGGTCAATTCTTTGCCATATAATTCTGATTATGTCAAGGAATTTATTCATGAGTTTTCTAATTCAACCCACTTCAAATAGAGCCGTATTTATATAACCACAAAAAATTACATCCAAATTACAACTATAGGATGTAGCTCCTTGGTGAACACTAGGAAAATATTAACCATTTACATGGCGTATCTGCTCTGAAATAATAGGGCTATAAAATAGCATAACAATGGCTAAACTTGGAGACTTTCTCAGAAAGATAACAGTCCTCTGGTACAAATTCCAGATGATTCAGGTGCTTGCTATCTGCTAACAGAATTCTTATGCTATTGGACAATGCAGAGCGTACCAGGTACTGGGCGCTTTGCTAAAAACCCATCAAAATGGCAGCCCCAGTAAAGCCACATTTTCAGGAAAGGCAGTACTTCCAGGCTGATATTCTGAGTAGACTGGATTTTCCCGTTTGATTTTTTCTCTCTGGTTAAAAGCATTATAGCATAGCAGTTTATTACCACATAGACAGACCTGGGTTCAAATGCAGACTTTGTTATATTATAGGTGTGTAATTTTAAGTTATTGACCCTTTCTAAAGCAAAGCTACACCATCCATAGTGTGGCATAATAAGAGGTACTTCATGGGACTGCTGCAAGGGTCAAACAAGAGGCTGTATATTAGGATGGGGGTATTCTCAGCTTCCCTCAGTGGTCCTTTATGACATTTTAGTTTCAGCATTAACCAATGTTATAGAATATCCTTCTGTATTGTATTAGTCCGTTTTCATGCTGCTGATAAAGACACACCCAAGACTGGGCAATTTACAATTGAAAGAGGTTTATTGCACTTATAGTTCCACCTGACTGGGGAGGCCTCACAGTCATGATGGAAGGTGGAAGGCACATCTCACATGGCAGCCAACAAGATGGCTTGTGCAGGGAAACCCCCGTTTTTAAAACCATCATATCTCATGAGACTCATTCACTATCAAGAGAACAGCTCATGAAAGACCCGCCCCCCACAATTCAATCACCTCCCACCAGGTTCCTCCCATGACACATGGGAATTGTGGGAGTTACAATTCAAGATGAGATTTGGGTGGGGACACAGCCAAACTGAATCATATATTAAACGAAAACCCCTCCACCATAATCTGAATCTTGTTTTAGATGATTATATTCTTTTCTTGGTACATGATATGTAAAATCTGTATTACTAGGACAATTTGGCTGATTTGCTTCACTAACATTGGGAGGGATTGAATGCTAAAGGTCTAGTAAAATCTGGATCCTTCTGGTTATGGGCAAAGATTTGCAAGCAAACTCACCTGGAGAAGAGAGGAGACCTTCTGGGGGCAAACATCTCCAAGTAATAAGGTCACAGGGGCAGGATGAGGAAGCGGTTTATCTATCTTTCTAATATGAACTTTGTCCATGGAGAATAGCAGAAAATGCCACCCAAAAAAGAACACTTTGGCATAAGGATTATTTTGAGCTAAAGGAAGAAGCAGATAAAAAAAAGAAGCAGCAGCAGATATAAAAAAAAAAAAAAAAAAAAGCCCTCAGACTACCCACATTTGCCTAAAAGCGGGACATAAATTTGTAAATGTGTCCTCCCCTCTACCCACCAGCAGGGACAGAAGTCCATCACCAAGACAACTTAGCCCTAAGATCACTCCAAAGGAATCTACATAGCTGACTTTATCAACCAGCACTTACCTTCTATTAATTTCCCTATATATTTAACTTTCTGTGATTTGCTGCCCTAGAAAATCAGTCCTTTTCCCTTATCTTGTCACTATTCTAAAATTTTATTGTTCTTTGTTAAGATGTTATATACATACACCCAAGTTCTAACCACCCCTTTGAGTCAGTCATCTTTGAGCACTCCCATGTTGTGTAGGATAAACAGGTTAATAAACTTGCATTTGCTTTTCTCTTGTTAATCTGTCTTTTGTCAGCCTAATTTTCCAGGCTCCAACCTGAGAAACTAGGAGGGTAGAGGGAAAAAAAGATGTTTTTCCTCCCCTATATTTACAATGTCCACATAGAATTAGGTAGTAGACATCCAGGCACTGAAGCCATAATAAAAGCTCCCATGACTCTGCAAACCAAAGCAGTCTTTGCCTTTTCTCTTATTTCACTCAAGAACTCTAAAGCGCATGGCCATGGAAAAGGACACTAGTAATAAGTTACGGAAACTACTCAGTCCAGTATCTGGGCAGAATCACTATTCCATATAAGGTAAGTGGAGGATTATCATCATTCTTATTTTTATTTTGTTTTGGTTTGGTTTTTCACCTTCTTTTCCTAATCTGATCAAAGTACAGGCCATTTCTAGAATTCTTTTTCCAAAAGTTCTTCACCTCCAAAGCAATAAAATATAAGCTATATCAGATCTTTGGATGCCACAGAGTCTATACTCTTCTAAAATCACAATATAGGCATAAAGTAAACTTTTGGTATTTGATGTCTCTTGACTATTCAGTTACTGACTTTGTCCCTTTGTCCTCCCTTCAGGTTTTGTGTGTTTTATGGCATGTTTATAAAAACCTGAGAATATAGTTTTCTCATCTGTAAAATGGGGCTATGACTATTTGCCTTACAACAGTATTACAGGGGCAGATATAGCCATGGGCGAAAACCATATAAAAGTTCAAAAGTACCAAGTATTGATAAGGGTAGGAACCAACATTAACTCACTGTTTGTAAGATTAGAAATGGAAATAATCACTCTGGGAATATTGGTAATATATAATAAAGCTGAAAATATAGATACCCTACTTAAAGCTAAATATACATACTTCCTCTGACCCAGCAATTCCATCCTCCATAATTGCAAGCTTATGTACACCAAGATATATGCAAAAAAAAAAAAAATGGTCATAGCATAGAACTTCAAACCCAGATGTTATAGAATGGAGTTTTAAAATTGTAGCATATTCATATAATGGTTACTAAATCACAATAAAAATAAGTGAACTATGAATATATGGAACAGTGTGGATAATTCATAGATATGTAAGTTGTATAAAAGGAAATTAGGAAAATAGAATATGCATTGTGCCAGCATTTACATGAAATTTGAAATCTGATTAACGAAACTATTCATGAATTTATTTATTTATGGATAAAACTATAGAGAAAAGCAAGGAAGTATTATGAAAGACAGGAGAGTTTCTGTTAGAGGGGAAGAAGTAATTATGATTGGGAAGAGACATGGGGAAAATCCAGGCTGCTGGTTATGTTATAATGCCTTGATGTGGGTAGGTGTTTTATCTGTGTTCATTTATAATTACTCCGAGGTTAACCATTTATGTTTTATTCAATTTCCTATTCTTCTATCTGTATTATAAAATAAATGAAAAAAATATACAATCACATATATAATGCACCTAAGATAGTGTGTGGTAGCTATTAGGTGCTTTAAAAAAAAAGGATAGCAATTCCCACCCCCATCGCCACCTCCTGGAGAATAAAAGATAGGTGAAAATGATATGCAAAATACCATATTTTAAAGGTTTTAACTAAAAGCAATGGACTCACTTAGGTTGCTTTTCATATAGGAGAAGTAAAATGTATTTATTTGGGAAGGAGACTCTCAGGGAATCCACTACTTGAGGAAATTCAACATGAGAGTCATCAGCAGATGTCAAACAGACCTTCAACCTCATTTAGAAATCTTGAAATTCAATATTCAGACTCATGCAGCAAATGGGCACATGGGGTTTGGGGGGGATTAGGAAAGAGGTCTACACACCCTATTTAATGATGTAGAGCTGCTCTTCCAGGCAGTGGTGCTCAAAGAGGCCCCCACTGCTTGTATTTAAATGAGATTCTGGCACAGCAGCGAGGTGAATGGTGGATCAACGCCTAAAGCAGCAATCTACTAAACATCTCCGTGACTGGGGAAACCCCAAAGGGCTACATCCAAACCTTCGTACCTGCAGCCATTAATGACTTCTAGAGGAGCAGAGCTCAGGGAGGGACAACAATAGGTGAGAAGTCAATTTAATTTTCATTCCCTGCCAGACCATATTCTTAACATAACCCAATGAGAATTTATGTCAGATGCACATTGTATATCTGTCCCTGATTTAAATGGCAGATCTCGTCTCCATTTCAGATTCATTCTTGGGCCTTTAGCTGCATTTATTGAAAAGTGGCTGTATTCACTATGAACCAATTTTTCCCTTGGGTTTTATTACTGAAATCATCAAAATAAATCACCTAGAATGCTCCATCCTACCTGGTTTGAAAGCCATTGGGGAAACGGTGAAATTCTTTTTTTAAAAAAATACATACTAGAAACACGTTTGTGCACCTGAGACAATGATTAGCTATTGAATTGAAATTGCTTTACATGTCATAAGGAAAAGTACTATTTAAACAAGAGTAGCATTGGAACAGACGGTGGACATCAATCCTTAGGATATTAACCTGTGAACCAGAGGATTACAATAGCATGCCAATTTTCACAAACTAGTTCTGGTGTTTGGAATTAGTCTTCCTTTTCTATGTTCTTTTTGTCCTAGTTTTTCCGGGATGAAAAAAAGGAAAGAAAAATAAAGGCTACCCTGCAAGAGCCCCCTTTGTTAACACACACTGTTTGCATCCTGGCTCAAGTGTGAATCCTCCTACCAAGCTGTAAATCTTCACTCCTGCTTTTCTACAGAATCCAAGAACAACTTTGTTTGCAAACTTGCTTTGGAAATGGTAAGGCCAGCCTTAGGTGAGAGGACACAGAAAAGGAGAAGGGGGGATCCTCACTGAGTCTGCCCTGTGACCCCTAAACTGCACCTTCCCCTTTCCCCCAGCCAAAGACCTTCTAACTTGCTTTTCTCCAATAGTTTTAATGCAGACTGTTTTGGCTAGTAACAGTTTTCAAATCACACCACTTCCCAATTCTGTTATATCCCTAGGAGTATATGCTCTAAAATTTAAAATGGCTGCACTCATCACATTGTTAATGTTTAATGTTTTCATGTGTCAGCAACCCAGGACTTTTTGCTTTTCTGCTGAAAGCAAAGACTTCAAACTAAAAAAGCAGAGCTCTGATGGAGAGGTTTCAAGACTTGCGGATGGGGGGTAAAGATTTTCTGAAGTAATTTTAAGGGGCCTCTGAAATCATCTGGCCTAAGATAGTCTTCTACTAGCTTTGTTCCTAGATAACAATGACAAAATATGTTACTTAGCTTCCTAGATACACTTCCACTGAAATGCAAATAAAAGGACTCCCCCCCACAACAAACACACACACACACTTCTCCTGAGTACCCACAACCTTCCGTAATGACCCAGATTTACTCCCATGGAAAAACAAAAGCTGGCCCTACTCTCTGCATGGCTCACTAAGGGTCATATTTTAATATTCAGTTCAAATGCCAACTCCTCTTAACACCTCCTGTCTCCTCTACCCCAGTCTCCTGTAGAAGAAGTAACCTTTCTTTTGCTCTTTCATTGGCATGGTCATAGCACTTGGTGCATTCTTTTCCCATAGTGGTGATGCCCAAACCTACTTGCCCACATAAATCTATGTGTAAGGCTCCTGATTTGTGGCAAATGCTACTCACTACAGCTAATAGCTACCATCATGTGTGTGGGCATCTTTATCTCTGTCCGCTGCTCAAATGCCAAATGTCTGACCCTATCTCAGTGACCACTGTCTTTCCAGAGCATGTAACCCGGTGCTATGCATGTAGTAGACGCTTGATAAAAGTGGAAGGGAAAAGAAGTGATGTTCAGAAAACAAATAGCAGCTGTAGGGAAAGGAATCCAGTGGTGTAAATAAAATGTCCCACAGTCCAGGTTTCAGTAGAGTCTCTACAGAAGAAAGGCTTGCTGTAAAAATGAGGACAGTGAGGCCTCGGACTTGACGGTCCTAAGAGTTGCCTTCAAAACTGAAATTTAAGTCCTCCAAAGGTAAGATTCTAGCAGCCTGTCTGCTTTACACAGACCTGATAATCAATGAGACTTCTGAGAAGCAGCTGATCGATGCACTTCACAACACTATCATCGAACACTTATCTTGAAAATGCCCATGACAATCTATTACACAACCTAATTGAAGGAATGGATTACATGTTTCCTTATCTCTTTACCCAAAAACTGCAAACAGGGAATGGAAATACTGTACAAGGAATGCAATATGCAATCTCCCAAATCAACTAGCTCAAGGAAATTCTGCTGGCTGTGTTAAAATTATTTCCCCTTATGATTTGCTTTATTAATTGAATATGTGCATTGCTGCCTAAAATTAAGTACAAATGTGTATGCAAGCAGGAATAAGGAAGTCTGGCAAGGGCTTTGAAGACAGGCAAATGTGAATTTGAATCCCAGCTAAGCCCCTTCCTAGCTGTGGAGTATAACTTTAAATATCAAATGGAGATATGCCTTATTAGGGTTGTCATAAAAAGTAAATGTTACATTGCAAGTGAAGTTTTTTGTTTTGTTTGTTTTGTTTTGTTTTGAGATGGAGTCTCGCTCTGTCACCCAGGCTGCAGTGCAGTGGTGCCATCTCGGCTTACTGCAACCTCTGCCTCCTGGGTTCAAGTGATACTCCTGCCTCAGCCTCCCGAGTAGCTGGGACTACAGGTGCATGCCACCACGCCCAGCTGATTTTTTGTATTTTTAATAGAGACGGGGTTTCACCGTGTTAGCCAGGATAGTCTCGATCTCCTGACCTTGTGATCTGCCCGCCTTGGCCTCCCAAATTGTTGGGATTACAGGTGTGAGCCACCGCGTCCAGCTGCAAGTCAAGTATTCAACACACTGACAGGCACTCAAGTACTTGAGGAATTGTAGTAATAGAGGTTCAAACATTTACAGAACCCCCAACAATAGCAGCTATCAATTACTAGTGTCCCAGGTACTTGTATGTTATCAGTAATGCTCATAATAAATCTCTTGAACATTGAAGGAATTATAATGCTCCATGTGCAGGTAAAAATATTGAGGCCCAGTCAGGTGGATCTGGCTGAAGCTGCAGAATTGGAAACTAGCAGATACGGGGCTAGAGCCCACAACTGCCTGTGCACTCTACATTGTATCACAAGGCCCCTTACTGTTTACATACTAGGCAGGAACTGTGCTGTATTCTTGGGATACCAGGAGGAAAGACTTATCTCCTACCCTAGAGAACCTCAATTTCTAATGGGGGCACTAGCAGTGAAAAGACAGTGTTAAGAGATAGTATAATGTAACTATAAAACGTATATTAGTTTCACAGTGGAGGTGAGCACAGGCCAGTCTCGGGGTAAGGAAAGGTGTTCTGGAGGCAGGGGGACAGCTGAGATGATTCTTATAGGACCAGTTGAAATTATCTTGGGAAAGAATGCAGAAATGAGCATTTCAGAGAGAGAACCTTGAGCCCAGGTACAGAGGTAGAGGATAGAATAGTATATCCAGAGTCCAGGGCTGTGCTGTCTAATATGTGAGACACTAGTACATATGGCTATTTAATTTTAAATTAACTAAAATAATTAACTAAAAATTTTAAATTGATTGTTCAGTCACACCAGCCTCATTTTAACTGCTCAATAGGCACGCATGGCTGGTGGCTGCCACACTGGATAGCACTGATACATAGAAGTTCTGTCGTAGATGATAGAACATTCCCATCATCACAGAAAGTCCTTGTGGACAGCACTGGGGGTATTTAACCTGAGATGATAAAATGTGAAATTTTAGAATACAAACAGAAGAGAATGAAGAGGGAGTGAGGGGCCTGATTATGGAGAGCCTGAAACTGACGGGGAACTGCCGAGCATTCTAAACACAAGGGTGAGGTGAATGGGTCTGGATTTTAGAAAAGTCTTTCAGACCTCAGGTTGGAGACCATATCACAAGGCAGAGAAAGGCTTAGATACTACTGGAGGTAAAGACAGTTACACTGACACAAAACCCTGTAGAGATGGAGAGGGAGGAACACTGGAGAAATACAGAGACAATGAAAGCAGAGAAGCAATATTGTGTGCAATGAATGAGGAAAGAAGCAACAGTTGCCACGATTATGGGTTGAGAAAATGCATGTGGTTCCATGTCCTGGGCTATGAAACAGAGAGGGAAGGAGGTGATTTGAAAGAGGGTAGGAGGGTTGATGAGTCCATTCCTGGGCATGTTGATCCTTGTCCCATGTCACATTCTGATGGAGATGTCCATGAGGAAACTGGATGCAGGAATCCCAAGATGATACTTTCAAACTATGGTTGTTCCTAATAACTTGCCAGTTACACATTAGCTCATCTGGAACAATAAACCTATGCACCAAGCACTCCACTATATGGGAAAGTAATTTTTAAAATGAGGACAAAACTTCCTCTCCTCAGAGGACTCACAATTTCCAGGAGAGATAGGCAGTACTCTATATCATATTACAGCTATACCACAATTAAGAATATAAGAAAAGATCAACTAAGGGCTGGGTGAATGAAGACAAGGATGGGAAAGGAAGAATCATGGAAGTTTTCTGGAGGAGACACCATTAGCTCAAGCCAGAAAAGGACATAGAGGATATCAGTAGACAAGATTGATGTTGGGGAGGGGACTTAGCTAATAACAGATCAATTTTTCTAACTGGTGAGCTATAAAGCCACTGCTCTCCACTTTTTCTTACCATTATTAAAGAAATCAACAACACGACTTTTCCAAAAAGAATTAAGAGCCCATTATATGAATAGAGGTAAAGGGAGTCACAGAAATCCTGCTGCCCCACATCCAGGCACCCTGTTAACAGGAGGGTCTTGGTACTAAAGAAGCTAGTACCCTCCACAAGAATGTGGGTGAAAGCCCTTTGTGTACCACAGGTGTTTCAGGCCAGAGCAAACTACAATAATCTGATTCAGGTCAAAGTGTATAATACATTTAGGAGAAAAAGGATTCTTTTAATTAGATGGGAGAGAAAGCAGATTAGTGGTTACGCTGCATCCGTTCTTGCCCTTCTCAGATTCATTCTTCTCCCCTCTGCAGCTGGCACATCATCTTGAAGTGCATACCTGATCATGCTACTCCCGTGCCAACCCTGTCCTCTGTTTAAAAATCTATCTGTGGCTTCCCATAGGATAAAGCCACAAATCCTTAACCTGGCAAAC
The DNA here is from genome assembly GCF_000001405.40 of Homo sapiens. Classification (NCBI taxonomy): domain Eukaryota; kingdom Metazoa; phylum Chordata; class Mammalia; order Primates; family Hominidae; genus Homo; species Homo sapiens. The sequence continues at coordinate 57,184,524 of NC_000001.11, forward strand.
CCTCATTATCACAGATTTCACAGTAAAGAATGCAAGGTTACCAAAAATAAGAACTGCTGGGCCAGCTGATTCTACACGGTGACGACATTTCCATTTCTCCCCACCTATTCTGAAGCCTTCCTCTCTCATACATGGTTTATGCTCCAATCCCACCAAATCACACCTGGATCATGTACTCCACAAACCCTGTGCTCCTGGGTGTGCTTTCAGTGCCTGGCACCACACAGCAACACACACACAGAGATACACACTCACTCCTGTGCCCATAAAAGTCCCATAGACGCTTTTTCATGATGCATTTCAAACACTGCCTAGTCAAGGATGGCTTCTCCCCAACTCAACCAGTTATGCTCTCACCCACTGAACTCCAGGAGTGTAGCGATCCAACAAATATAACTGAGCACATGGACCCCGCAGGCATCCATGGCACAGAGATGGACAAACAGGGATCACAACATTCGTAAACTCACTGACTCTCATCCTGAGATTGTCCTGGCATTGCAACCCACCCCAGGATCCTGCCATCCTGATCTTCTTGAGACCACCAACCTCTTGCTCACCCCTGGGTCTTTGATCATCCTCCTCCCCTGCTCCAAACATGCTTCCCCCTCTCTGTGCCAGGCGAACTCCCTGAGATGGCATTTCTTCAGGGAAGTCTTCTGCAATTCTGCACAGTCCCATCACCACTCCTACCCCTACCATGTTAGGAACTTCCTTTGTTATTCCATAGTACCCTGGGCATTCTCTCTCCTGGAACTTATGATGCCACCAGGTAACAGAAAGTCTGGAGGCCTGAAGACCAGTTACAACAAGTTGGTAATGGTGGCAAAGAATAGAGGAGGACAGAATTTGCAGATTGTTAAGTGTACATGCTTCTGGCTTGAATACCTGGGCAAAGAGAAGGGAGCATTTAGGGGACAGAGTCTGAGAGACAATGCAAGATGTTCAAGAGTTAGAAGGAGGGAGAAAAAGAGAGAGGCAGGAATCCTAGGCAACCAAGACACAAGAATGGGACAAACCTCACAGGCAACCTCACGCATAGAGGGCCCTTTAGGAAATAATCCCCGTTAAATCTTCAAACAGCCTTGAGAAGTAAAAAGGGACATCCTCTTGGTAGCACCTCACACTCAGCAGTATTAGCGCAGATGGAAGGTGGTACTCAGACACTGAACTAACAATGCTGTCTCCGAAGTAAGAAATTCCAAATTCATAATAATGTTTCTGGTTTTTTGTTTTTGGTCTTTTTTTCCAGAGAGTGAGGTAAGTTTTCCAGTGTCTGACAGCTAGGAAGTACCAGGACACTGTATCTCAAAGACTCCAAGTTGAGACCTTTCCTGTGTGCCACAATGCCGGAACAAACTCCCTCCCCGAGTACGAGATTCCAGAAGCAGAACCGTGGACAATTTTTAAACTCAGAAAGCCTCCTGTGGAGTTGGGACTCACAGCTCACAGCCACGAAATCACTGTCCATTAACTGTTTGGTTTCCTGAGAGCAGAGATTAGGGATCCTCAGTCTTGCCTGTATATCAATACCACCTGGGACCACTCAGACCAGGTGAATCAATGTCCCTGCAGGTTGGGCCCAGGTAATGGTTTATTACGTGTTCTATGTAAGTTTAGGGTATAACCAAGTGGTTAGAATTACTAACTAAATCAAACCTCTTTACTGACCAATTACATTAGAATGTAAATTCTCTCCAATATGTATCCGTGTTTCTCCAAAAACAGCCCCAGCTCTCAAGTCCAGGATTAGTATGGGAAAAACCAACTCACAAAAACCCACATGTTGTGTCCAGCTCTCCACCACTTTGACACAAGCACCATCCCCAATCGATCAGTGTGAGGTGTGCTTATTTATTCTCACTTCTCTGGCAGATAAGGATTATAGGGATATAAAAAGCAGAGTGTGCTATAAAACATTATTTATTAGTGGGCCAATGGATCTTCATGTGAATCAGGTTTTACAGGTTCCATTTTCCATTGAAACAATGGAATGTTACATGGCTAATAATAAGGCACAGGCCTTGATTAAATACCCAATCCATAATTCAATAAAGAGGTTGTGCTGACATAATCCGCAAAGAGGGACCCTTATGAATATCCAACTAAGGCCAAAACCTGAAATGCACGCGTCAGCATTTACCCCACAGAGGCATATTATTTGTAAAGTGTGCAAAACATTTTTCTTCCAGTACCCACTTCAAGAATTTTATAATTAGCAAAGTTTCATTAGCAGAATAAGACACTTTGTATTCCAAGTGATGGCTTGTCTGGAGTGTTAGGATGCTTTGCTGGGAAATTAACTATTCTGTGTCAATTTCTTAAGGAATAATTATGCTCTGTAACTGAATAACAGACTGGCAACTGGGGAGGTCTTGAAAATTCCTAGAAGCTCAGCTCCAGGCTAATTCATTTCTATTTTGTCAATTTTTGTCATTTCTATTTTGTCAATTGACTGGACTGTCAATTTTTTATGGTTATTGTCCCCCCAAAAAGATGGGATCTAAAAGATACCAGGAGGTAAAGTTTCTGCTTTTTAAAGTAGTACTAAAACTTCATATTGCACATAAAATTCTAAAACACACACATACTTCAAATGAAGTACATACCTTCTGTGATTCCCTAGGCCAATTTGTTTTTTATAAACACCTTGAATCTTAAAAATGTGTTGTTGTCTTTTTTTCCTTTGACCACTAGGAAGCTCGGATCCAAATCTGTAACTCACACCAAACAACCAATAGGATCTCATTGCATGATTTTTTCTATTACCTATTTCCTTGCTTCCATCTGAGTTATCTAACAACATTCCTTATTATGTAGACATCTTTATAAATCTCCTCACATCATCTATGTAACAAGGTACAGTATAAAAAAGCACAGTATCTTACTATAAAGTACCACAGTCTACACAGCAATTTGCGTATGATTCTGGAAAGTGTATATACCAAAGATGTAAATGTGCTATGGGCTCCTGGAATAGGTAAATGAATACAGAACTGCCTAAAAATCTGGGGCAGGTGGCTACTGCTCTGACACTGCACTTCCCTTGGGGCTGACAAAGTCCTCCTGCATTTGCTATCTTGTTCTTTGACGTTTCCAAGGTAAGAATTTGAAAATACATGACACTTTTATATAAATGTTCTTATCTACACTTTAAAACTGGGGCTAAAAAGAGGTTAAGAAACTTGCCAACAACGACTTGTGTCATAAATCGTGAAGCTGGGATTCTACTCAAAGTATTTTGTATGCAGGTAAGTTCTCAACCATTCAGCTAATCCCAGTTTGTCTCAGCGCTGATTGAGTCACTGAAAGAGAGAGAGAGAGAGAGACTCCCACAAAAAGAGAGATCCCCCACAAAGACCCACAAGGAGAGAGAGACCCCGCAAGGAGGGAGGAGAGGAGAAAGAGAGACAGACAGACACCCCACAAGGAGAGAGAGGTCCTCTTTGGATGCAGCAATCCCCTCCCCGCTGCTCATGCAGGCAGGCACTAGTAAAGTGCCTGGAACATAGGAAAGATGCAACAAATGCTAGCTCTAACTTACTGAAGTAGTGTAGTGAGTTAATGTGGCAGGCATAGCAAAGAATAAAGTCTAGGACAAGGGCCCAGGTTTCTTTCTCGAGTCACTGATTAATGAAACAGTTTCTACCAAGGCCTTTCTGAAGGATACCCCTGCACCGTGCCTGATTAGAGTGCTGAGGCTTCTCCAGGCAAGTTGTCCCATTGATAACTCACCTCACAATTAATTTAGATCACCTATCCACTTTAAAGAATTGACTATTTCTACTTGGAATTGGAAATTTTCATCTTGAGTCATCATGACATGTGATAGTGGTTCAGTGTGAGTAATCGACAGAAAAAGGCAGGAAAAAAAAATTAAATGGCTCAATGGGAGGAATAAAGTATCCTGAGAAAATATAGTGAGACCTAATGAAAATAAGCAAGACCAGAATTTGGCTCTCAGCTAATTGCAGAGTGTTTCAAAATGACCCAGAGAAAACAAGAGCTGTCACTGGGATATTCTCACATCTCATTTATCTGTTACTGTCATCAAAGATGATATGGTGTGTGTATCTGTGATCTTCAGAAAAATAGTCAAAGTCCCAATGCTTTCCCAGCATATCTACAACACTGCTCTTTGCCACTTTCTGGTCTTGAGGTTTTCTCCCATTTTGTTTTATTCATTACCAAAAATTGTTCCATTAATCAGTGACTTGAGAAAGAAACCTGGGTCTTGGTCCTGACTTGATTCTTTGCTATGCTTTCCACATTAACTCACTATACTACTTCAATAGTTAGAGCTAAAATTTGTTGCATCTTTACTGTGTACCAGGCACGTTACTAAAATAGATCATCTTAAAAAATTTTCTCACTTAATCTTTATAATGATGCCATAGGCAGAGTTATTTTCCCTCAGTTGAGAAATCAGCAACAGAATCTCAAAAAAAAGTTCGGTCATTTGCCTAAGGTCTCATAGCTTGGAGGAGGGGTAAGGGTGGGGAGTAGAAATTCCAATTCAGGCCTGTTGGACTCCACTTGACATTGCCTTAGTCAACACCCTTGCTACCTCTTGTCTCCATGATCAAAATAACCTCCTTCTCTTTCCTCTTCTTTCCTCTTTTCCTACCCCTTGCAATCTGATTTTCCACCATAATAACTTAACGGCTGATGTTACAGGAGCTCCATCCAAGTGGTTTCACCACAAGATATAATAGCTGACATTTGGAAAATCGTATCAATGTAGTCTTTTATCAACATTTATCAGAGAAACCAAAGTACATGGTTTCCTTTCAATCAAAGTTGCTGAAACCTTGGTCTTAGAGATCCTTCTTTCCCCCAGGGAAGGTAGCAACCTAGTTATCTACTTAAATTATTCTGACCTTCCAAGGCCAAGTCGTGTTAGCCCTCCCTAATCCAAAAATAATTAGTGGATAACAGACCCTGGCTTGCTGAGACAGAGAGTTATTTGTAGGAAATTTCTCGTCTGGAGCAAATGGTTTTGCAGGAATCACTAACCCTAATAGATTATCCCAAGCCCTTACCACCTGCTTTCCTGAGCCCCCTGTCATCTCTGACAGTAAAAGGGCAGGCAGGTCACAATGTCAAGCCTAGAGATACAAAGTTGCCAGCACATTGTTACTGGTGATGGTTAGGCCTATGGACCAACCATCTGGAGAGAGGACAGGATGGATGGTCACAGGCCTTCCAAGGAGGTAAACAGGAGCATCCATTAAAAAGACAGGCAGGCTTGCCCCAAACTCGGGTACATGGCCAGCTCTGAGAAGCCAACATTTGTTGGCAGACAATTGCAAAGGGAAGGGGAAAAAAAAAAAAAAACACAACAGAAAACAACCATAAGGGTCTGTCATGGCCCAAGAGCTCCTGCAGAATACCTGAGAGTGTACAGCAGCTGATGCTAGGACTGAACAGAATTTGGTGTTATGGGGCAGTGCTGGGCACCTGAGGCACAGTGTTCAAATCAATGTTTGTCCCAGCTCAATATCTGGGAACAAGAGCAGGGCCCAAAGGGAGGTTACTTTAGAGTAGTGGTTCTCAAACCTGAGTGTGCATTAGAATCACCTGGAGGGCTTGTTAAGGAAGAGATTGCTGAACCCCACACCCAGAGTTCTTTATTCAGTAGGTATGGGGTGGGGACTTCAGAATTTGAGTTTCTAATCAGTTTCCACGTAAGGCTGTTCTGCTGGTCTGGGGACCATACTTTGAGAGCACTGCCTTAGAAAAGAGAGTTCACAGGAAAGGCAAGTAGGGAAGAAGCCAGCATCAGCTGTAACCAACATATGCCAAGTGTTGGCACCTTATAAAGGTGGTCTCATTCAATCCTCCTAATAAACGTGAAAGCAGGCTTTATAAACCCTATTCTGTGTATGAGAAAACTGAGGTCCAGAAAGGTGAAGTGACCTGGTCATGATGAACATAGCTGGGGAGAGATAGAGCCAGGATCAGAATCCAGGTTTTCAAGACTTTAAGACCACCTTCTTCTCAAGACAAAGCTCCAGCCTGTTCAGGTGAATATCAGGAAGATCTGCTGTCTCCAGAGTCTACTCTGTCTTCAGGAAAATGCCTATTCCCACCTTTCCCCAGTATGCAAAAGTCAACCACTTCCACACGTCTTTATTGCCCACATCAAATGCATCTAAGATGAAATGCACAGAGGAATGCAGCATCCCCCGCACCACCACCACCACTCAGAGATCATCCCAAAGGCAGTACCAAGAGGCAACTCCATGCACTCAGAGTTGGACTCTGCTGGGGTTCTCGACAGGTGATGAGCTACACTGTTGACCGAGGGGCTCCAGTAATTTAATCCTCTAAAGTGCAGATTTAGGAATACTTCAGACTTACAAGTGGTTTTGGTACAAAGGACTTCTGATCTAAAGATGAGATTTCAAGTCCATAGATAAGTACTTATTTGCCAGAGGTAAAGTCCCATAACTTACCTGAATTTTAGTCTCTTTACCTGAAAAACCCAGCTATTAATGTCAGCTATACTGCCTCACAGGATTCATGACAGCATAAAGTGAAATGGTGCACACGTATCTATCTGGTGAGTTGTTTGCTGACATAACAATAAAAAGTACTGTGAATCATGAGTGATGGTAAATACAAGCTAATGAGAGAGGAACTTGCAAATAGGTGTTCTTCATTAGGGACTTCATCCTGGCTTCTCTACTTTGTGATTTGTATTTCTTCAAGTTATTATCCTCCTGGCCAAAGTTTCTTCCTCTGAGATATGGAGACGCCCACACCTGAGAGGCCTCACAGTAGGGTGCATGTGACACATTTTCAGAGGGTAGAATTTGTAGGGGATATTTCAATGGACTTAACCACTCAAAACAAATCAGCAATAATTACACCCAAACACAGTCTATATTGGGTCTTGCTGATCACCAGCCTTCCCTTTACCACTGTCTCATTTCTTGAGGACCACCATGACTATGGCCTCTTAGATTCTGTCAAAGCAAAGCTCCAAGACCATGTTCTCCTCCTCTGTTGATGGCTCAACTATATCCCCGCTCCCCTTTCCCTCCTTGCAAATAGAAAGTTTAACAGTGTTCTACAACTCATCCTTCAATGGGCTGTACTCAAAGTTCTGTGCCACAGACACCTCCAAAAACAGTGGTGCCTCAGGGTAGAAAATTAATTTTCCATCTTGAACAAAACGTTGGAGCACACCTGGAAAAGCTTATCATATACCATGGTGTCTGGACCACTGACTGGTATGGAGTAGGGAGACAGACTTTTGATCCTCATGGGGTAGTGACTCACTCTTCCTGGGTCCCTGAGTCCCAAAATCCTAATCACAGTATGTAGATGATAATACCTACCCCTATTCATCTCCCAGGGTTGAGAAAGATAAGAATAGGATGGATGTGAAATTGAACAGAGGGCCATACCGTAATAACAGCAGCATGGCACGAGCTAATACCACAAATATAATCGCTGCTCTTAGGGTCACACAAGCAGCACAGTGGTTAAGAGTAGTGTGGCTAAGGCTGGGCACGATGGCTCACACCTTAACCCCAGCACTTTGGGAAGCCGAGGCAGGCAGATCACTTGAGGTCAGGAGTTTGAGACTAGCCTTGCCAACATGGTAAAACTCTGTCTCTACTAAAAATACAAAAAACAGCCAGGCATTCTGGTGGGCACCTGTAGTCCCAGGTACTTGGGAGGCTGAGTCAGGAGAATCACTTGAATCCACAAGGCAGAGGCTGCAGTGAGCTGAGAGAGCAGCACTACACTCCAGCCCGGGTGACAGAGCAAGTGAGACTCCATCTCAAAAGCGGAAAAAAAAAAAAAAAGAGTGATGGGGCTAAAATATGAGCACTGCATCTATACAAATCCCAGCCCTTCCACTTACTAGATGTATGCCTTTGGGTAAATGACTCAACCTTCCTAGGCCTCAGGTTACTCATCCATGAAAGTGGATTAATTGAGTTAACACAAGGAAAGCATTGAGAACAGTGAAAGGAGCACTGTAAGGGTTCAGTCAAGGGTGAACTGCTGTTACCATAACCATCACCATCACCATCAGCAACATCCTTACTCTGATTTGGCCATTTTTCTTTCTTATTATAGTACTGCAATCTCCCTTCTGTGTTCTCTACCTGCACCATGGCAGCCTTTCACTGGGTACCTTCCTATCCTCTTCCAGCAAGAGGCACAGCAACATCGATGACATGCAGGTGGGCAGGTCAGCCCTGCCTTGATAAAAATCACAGAATTTCATTATTATGTGTATTTTTTTAATTGAGGTTTTAAATCACATATCATGAAATTCATCATTTTAAAGTGTGCAATTCAGTGTTTCTTAGTATACTCATAAGGTTGTACAACCACCATTGCAATCTAATTCTAGAACATTTCTTTTTTAATTTTTTAAAATTCATTTTAATTGACAGATCAAAGTTATATATATTTACAGTGTACAACATGATGTTTTGAAATATGTATACATTGTGGAATGGCTAAATCAAGCTAAACAACATACGTATTACCTCTTGTGTTTATCTTTTTGTGTGTGTGGCAAGAACACTTAAACTCTACTCTTGGCAATTTCCAAGAACACAGTGTTATTAACTACAGTCACCATGTTGTAAAAGAGATGTCCTGAACTTCTTCCTCCTGTCTAACTGAAATTCTGTGCCCTTGACCAACATCTCCCCAACCCTCTCCACCACCCACCCCACCCGGTCCCTGGTAACCACCACTCTGCTCTCTGCCTCTATGAGTTTGACTTCTTTAGATCCCACATATCAGTGGACTCATACAGTACTGGTCTTTTTCTGCCTGGCTTATTTCACTTACGTAATGCCTTCCAGATTCATCCGTAGCATATGTTTTTTTTTTTTTTTTTTTTTTTGAGACAGAGTCTCGCTCTGTCACCCAGGCTGGAGTGCAGTGGCGCGATCTCGGCTCACTACAAGCTCCACCTCCCGGGTTCACGCCATTCTCCTGCCTCAGCCTCCCGAGTAGCTGGGACTGCAGGCGCCCGCCACTATGCCCAGCTAATTTTTTGTACTTTTAGTAGAGACGGGGTTTCACCATGTTAGCCAGGATGGTCTCGATCTCCTGACCTCGTGATCCGCCTGCGTCGGCTTCCAAAGTGCTGGCATTGTAGGCTTGAGCCATGCATATGTATTTTTTAAAGCACCAATCAACTTTTTCTATTGGTTTTTAGAAATATTTCCAAATTTCCACTTTTAACTAATTAGGTAATTAATGAGTTTTCACAAACAAATTCCATTAGAATGAGAAACACCACAGCATAGCATAAGAACGTGGTCACTTAAGCCAGACTCTGGTTCAAATCCTGGATCCAGCAGTTATTAGTGATATGGCCTTAGCCAAGTTACTTAACCTGTCTATACCTCCATTTCCTTATCTGCAAAATGGGTATAACAGTGATTCTTAGTTCACAGGGTTATCCTGTGATAGGAAGGACTGAACAGAATTTGGTGTTATGGGGCAGTGCTGGGCACCTGAGACAGTGTTCAAATCAATGTTTGTCCTAGCTCAATATCTGGGAACAAGAGCAGGGCCCACAGGGAGGTTACTTTGGAGCAGTGGTTCTCAAACTTGAGTGTGCATTAGAATCATCTGGAGGGCTTGTTAAAGAAGAGATTGCTGAACCCCACACCCAGAGTAACTGACCATTACGGCTGTTTTCTATTGTGTTTTTTTCTTTTATCTTCCCTTTGCACTTGTCTGCCAACAAATGTGGAAATGCTTCTCAGAGCTGGCCACGCACCTGAGTTTGGGACAAGTCTGTCTGTCTTTTTAATGGATGTTCCTGTTTAGTGAGGCCTGAGTGATTTCACGTAAGGTGCTGAGAACAGCCCTTGGCACGTGGTAAGCACTCAGTAAGTCCTAAATACTTTAATATTAGATGCTTTTCCTGATGCTTCAAAGACAGTGATAAAATAAAAGAGTTTGATGATTGCTGCAAAAGAAAAGAGCAGTCCCACAACAAGTGGGCCAGATAAAGTTCTTCCTCCAACATACTATATCACGTGGAAAAGCCCTTTCCCTTTCTGAGTCTTGGTTAAGAAACAAAATCCATTAACACCTGAGGTGTATAAAATTCTTTCACTCAGCTAGCCGCCTTTGCACATCCCCAACTCTCAGTGACAAATTAAAATTCTCCTACCATCTGAAACCCACTAGCCTGAGTGCTAGTGACAGTTGTGTGCCATGCAGACAACCTGGTTCCATGGGAGGCATGGAGAAGCACATTTCCAGCCAGTCCTCAAAGCGCATCTCCAATCAGTACTCAGGAAAGCATGAAACACAGCCACAGCCATTGCTGGCCACAGCAATCAGACACGAGAATGCAACCAACACAGCATCCTGAGGCTTTGTTTATAGACAGATGGAGGGACAAGAGGCTCATTCTCATCCACATGCCCATTTTATATATGCTAACTAGTAACAGCGGAAAGTGTAATAACTTTGGGTCTTGGGTCTTAGGGAAATGGACAGAAAATGATTAATGAATGGAAAATGAGTTTCCAAGTTCTACCTTCAATAGGATGTGTGAGCATAATATACTCTTGCCTGATTTGGGCTTCCCTATCTCTCTGAATCATGCTGGTGCTACTGCTGACATAGCACTCTTATTCCTTCATCCATCCATCATGTATTCATCAAACGTTTATGGAATCTAGTAGAAGTCAGGCAATGATCCACTGGGCTAACACAGCAATATAAGGTTCAACATGATTTCCTGTCCTCTTTCTGTTGCTTTCACCCTCCTTAATACAAGGGAGTCTGTTCAATACTAAAGAGGACATTTTCTGCCTTCACTTAACATATATTTGAGGAACCAAATTACTTTAACAATAAAGATACATAACTTTCATGGAATACTTCAGATATACAAGGCTGAGCATTTAAATACACTCTCTTATTTATTTTAAGAATATGCTGGCCTTTTCCCATCATATTCCCATTTTACAGTGAGGAAAGCTAAGCTGGAAAACAGTTAAGTAGCTTGTGCAAGCTCTCATTACTGAGATGCTGCAGCTGAGGGCTGAACCCAGTTCTCTCTAAAATCAGTCAGGCTCCTAACCGGATCCTAAATTGCTTCCAGACACTAGCCAGGTGGGAAGAACACATGCTCTAAGTCAGACCAGCCTTCATTAAAGCATCTCCTAATTGTGTGACTTTGGGCCACTATGCCTCAGCTTCAGTTTCCTGGGCCATGAAATGGCATTAAAGAAGAGAATTGTTGTGCAAATTTAAAGAGATGCATTCATGGAATCCCTGTAAGTAGCTCACCAACTTGACAATTGGTGGCTATTACTAGAAGTAGTCTAAGTGCCCAGCTTTGTAGGTAGGCAGTGTGGCTTCAAATTTTCCTTAAAAAGATAATTATGCAAACTCAAATAAGCCAGAGAAAAAATAGTACATGTATGAATTTATAGATAAATTGTGGAGAATGAAAACATGTAAAGCAACAGAAAGCAGTCAGTGCTGTGAGGATGGGGTGGTGATGGGGAGTAGGAGGAAGGGGTGGGAGAGTGGGATGAAGAAGGGCCAAGGAATGTTTTGGAAGTGATGGATGTTTTGTAACCTTGATTGTGGTAATGGTTTGATAGGTATACACATAAATTTGAGTTAGGATGTCTCAAAATGTAGACTTTAAATATGTACAATTCATTGCTTATCAATTTTACCTGCATAAAGCTGTTTTTAAGAAAGGATTTCTGGCACATGAGCAAGTACTCTCTGTTGAAGGTGGAGCCAGTTTTATCTACGTTAGCTCAGTGTAGCCATCCTCACCATAGTACAATACCTAGAGCTGGACATGAGGCTGCCAAGGCACTTTCTTGGCAAATCTCTCTTTTCTTTCCTTGTCCATCATGTAGCAGGAGATGACCTGGCAGTGAGTGTGGGAGGCAGGTGGGCTCCTGGCAAACCAGGAAGATTAGCAAACATGATTTGACCATTTATTGAAGTCCCAGACAGCATAATAGGCTTTGGCTAAAGAAAGGGCTTTAATAATTCTTGGTCTTAGCCCAACACGGGTGTAGGCAATCCTGTTTAATTAAGGTAATTTTTGTCACTTGAGTCACTGTGCACCTTTCAAAGGGGTCAACCACACTAAGTGGCAATGGAGACTCCAGAATATTACAGTTGCCACAGCAAAGTCAATTGTTAACATAAATCAGAAATTAAAAATATTTATCACTTGGAGGTATACGATAATAAGTGAAGAATCAGTGATGCCAATACAGTCCTTTTTGCTTGTGCAATTCAAAACTTAACCTTTATGTAGTTTGAAAATTCACTTTTAATTGGCGTTTGAAAGCAAGGGACAACTATACATGATAATAACTGAGATTAGTAATAATAGAGGTCAATGTTTCCTGAAGATTTACCATACATCAGGTACTTCCTAAGCACTTTGTGGGTCCATTTGATCCACACAGCAAACCTATTAGGCAGATTGCCATCAAAATTCCCACTTTAGAGATGAGGATACAGAGGCACAGAAAGTTCGATAACTTGGCCAGGCGCCGTGGCTAACGCCTGTAATCCCAACACTTTGGGAGGCTGAGGCGGGCAGATCACTTGAGGTCAGGAGTTCAAGACCAGCCTGGCCAACATGGTGAAACCCCATCTCTACTAAAAAAACAAAAACACAAAAATTAGCCAGGCATGGTGGCACGTGTCTGTAATCCCAGTTACTCAGGAGGTTGAGGCACAAGAATCGCTTGAACCCAGGAGGTAGAGGTTGCTATAAGGCAAAATAGTGCCACTGCACTCCAGTCTAGGTGACAGAGAGAGACTTCATCTCAAAAAAAAAAAAAAAGAAAGAAAGTTCAAAAACTTGACCGAAACCACATGATGAAATGCAGCATTTTAACTATGAACAACAGCTGTTGTTTATTTAGCTCCTGCTATGTACTAGAACTTCGTGAAGCACTTTATATATTTTCTTTTTAAAAACTGACATTAAAGCCACAACATGAACTAGGTACAATTATTCTCATCTTACAAATGAAGAAACCGAAGCTTTGAAATATTAAGTAATTTGCCCAAGGTCTCGCAGCTAAATAGCAGTAGAGCCAGATTTTAGTGCCAGATTCATCTAATTCCAAATCCACGGACTACTCAGGAGAGCACATGGTTTTACATCCCCTTTGAATATGTTCTTCTTCTCCTCACCCCAAGTCAGTAAGTTCCATTATTCACACATGGCAGACAGACACAAAGACACAAAAAGGTTGAAGAAGACAAAACATTTGTTTAATTTCACTTGCATGTTTTAGAGTCAGTTATTTTTAAAACCCAGGGAATGTAATCTTGCTCATAGGAAATGCTTTGGAAGGCAATAAAGTAGATTAAATTAAAGTATGGTTTGATGGTGATGATTTAGCAAACTGCAGTAGTGTTAGTAAAAATGAAATAGAAGATCTCTTTGCATATTATCTCCCTAAAGAGTACCACATAAGAAACCCTCTTTGCACATAAAATAATGAGAATATATACATATAATAAACATAAACTACAATATATGAAAATATGCTTCTTCCATAAACTCTGTCTGCCAAACCTCCAATAAGGTGGAAGGATATTAAAATACGAACTGGAAAAAATGAGAAGGGTTATAAGCAACTTCTAGCAGGCTTGGGTTTGAAAATAAAACCAACTCATTAACATCTCCCTCCCTCCCTTCCTAGTGTCTATGAACTGTACATTTAGAAATCACCCACGCTGTGACAGAGTAAGGCATGCAGGCTTAAAGGAATGGTGCTGCCATCAAGGAGTTCACAGTGTAGCAGGGAAGAGAAACATAGTCCTAGAGCAGGAGAATTAAATAGAATGTAATGAAGCCTCTCAAAATCTTCCTACAATATTTAGAATAAAAGTCAGAATGCTGGGCATCCCCCTGCCCCAAGCCCCAGGGCCCTAAGTCTAGAGACTCATCTTTCACCACTCTCACTATATTCCAAGAACACTGGCCTTCTCTCAATCCCTCAATCACCAAACCTTTTCCCTTTGCATTTGCTGTTCTCTCTACCTGGAATGCCCCCCACCTCCATCCATATCCTGGCTTAACTCTCTCTCTTCCTCCCTCCCTCCCTGCATCTTCTCTCTCTCACACACACACACACACACACACACACACACACACACACACCCATCAACTTTTCCTGGGAGAGTAAAAAAAGGTTTCCAGAGGAAGTGACGTGTAAGCTGGACTCTGGAGGAGGAGAGGAGGTGATTAGGTGTTTCAAAGGAGAGAAAAAGGAAAGACAAGACAGGAAGAGGACACGGGAGGTGAAAAAGCATAGCACATTAGGAAAATGGAAGGAAGTGTGGGGCACTGAGTGTGTTGAGTGTGGAATAGGACAAGAGCATAAGTTGGGGCCTAGATCCCAAGGTCAAGGTCTTGCCTGTGAAGGTCAGCAGCTTGCAATCAGAGATATGCACCATGGGCACCCCCAGGCCACTGGTCTTGTGAACGTGGTTTTAAAGAAAAAACCTCTGGGAACTGCATAGAGGAGAGACTAAAATTTTTCCAACAGGAACCTGAGGCTGGGGGAAGGGAAAAGACTCACGTCACAGCATGTGACTCCACATCCACTCCACACACTGAAGGCTCTGGTGAGTGTCTTTGTTACCTTGTTAAGGAGTCCACTTGGAAATTGAATTAAAAGAATAGGGTTCCTGCAGCTTTTAATAACTTCTCTTATTAAAGTAAAATTTCTAATTAATAATTTATTTTAAAAAGGAAGATCAACTAGTGTTTACCTTAAAAAACCCACACAGAGACTTCAGCAAGGGCAGCAGGACTGCCTCTTCCAGAGGCACAGGCCACATAGGGCCTGTCCCAGAGAGAGGTGCAAACACCTGGAGAGAAGCAGTGTTTTGTCACCTTTACTTAAAGGGCTTGTTGGGAGGTGGCAGCTGGCTTGTCTTCTGATGGAAAACTATCACACTGGGGGAAATGTAACCATAGCCATGTCAACTGTGAGTAAGGAAGAAGACCGCGGGCTATGCACGGGTCATTTCTTCTAAATCTTCTGGTACAAGAACAATTCTGACTACAGGGAAATCACGGATCATCTGCAGGGAAATGAAGATGTTTGGGGAATAAAACTGTTACTACCAAAGATTCAGCAGCATGAAAAGTCAAGATGATGGGCGTTGAAGTCAGAAGTCCGAGGCCCAACTGCAACCCCATGACCAGCTCTGTGACCTTGAGTCAATCATTCTCACCTCTCTGAGTCCAAGTTTCCTTGGCTGTTAAATGAGGAGAGTGATCAGGACTTAACAGGATGGTTTTAAGGAGTAAGTAACACAAATGCACTTGGAAAGTATACAGTCTGGTACCAAGCAGTCCTAAGAAGTTCAGCCTATGGACGGGCCAAATGAGTCCAAGCTGCACAAGCTGCAGTACATGAGCATGGGACCAAGGAATCCCAGTCTCTCAAAGGTCATCACTATCAATGTCATGGCCTCAGAGAACTAGGTGACTGAAACCACTATTCCATTTAATCAAGTCCTTATTTCAAACTAGATCATCAGAATGAATTTAGGCAGGGAACTTTACCTCTTTCTGTATACTGTCCCCTCACTGGTCTGAAATTACTGGTGACTATACTCCTGTCTCTCCCTTACCATCTTAAGCCTTTTCAGAGATATGGTTCTGTTTCCCTTTAGCCTGAAGACAGTCTGGTTGCATCTATTAGTGTCCTTAAGCTGCCAGAAAGCATTCACTCAACATTGATTTACTGAGCACATATTATGTGCCAGGCACTATTCTAGGCATGATGGGTAAAATCAACATGGTCTCAATTCTCTTGCATGAAACATGCAATTTAGTCTGTGAGAGGGAAAGTAGGGTAGCAAGCAATGATTAAGTTCACAAAGAAATAAAAATCCAGTCTTGGTGCTATGTGTTATGTAGTATAGTGGTTACGAGCATGTAGTGTGGAGGCAGAGAGCCAGGGTTCAAATCTGAACCTGCTGCTTCCCATTCTACAACTTGGGGTGAGTGTTTTAATCTTTCTGGGTGTCAGTTTCCTCATAGGAGTGTGGTGAGGTCTAAATGAGTTAATGTACGTAAAGCCCTTAGGATAGTGCCTGGAACTTAATAATAAGAATGCAAATAAGTGCTACTAAAACTTTTATAGCTTTATTTGACCAGCCCCACAGTGATTTCACTTGTAATTTTGCAAGTAAATGCCTGAAGATGAGGATCAATAAATTGGCAAGTTTATAGAGTTAAAAACAACTCATGTTAATAAAGTACTTTCCAATTTACAAAACAATTTCATGCAAAATTATTATTTGATCATCAAAAGAAGCTACCTGAAGTGAGGAGATGAGGCAAGTAGTTTTTCTTAGCATCTCAATTCATTACAGGGTCCTTATTACTTAGCCTAGAGGCAGGTCTACTAGGCATGCAAATGTTTGTTGAAGGAATAAATGCAGATGAGAGAATTGAGGCAGCATTCACTGTGAGAGAACCATTGGGCTTGATGCATTACATACATTTAATTCAGAGAGCTTAGGTGATTCTCTCAGGGCCACACAGCTAAGTGATAGCAAGGTCTGTGTCTTCAGGAGCCATTGCTGCTTCTGCAAAGCCACTAAATGAGACCACCTTGCTATAGGGTTTTTGTGGCTTTATCAATGACACCCCCTTTCTTCCTGGCACATAGTAGGCAGCAAGCAAGCATTCATTCATTCATTGGTATAACAGAAAAAAAAAATCCTGCACTACTATGCTCTTCTGAAACTTAAGTGTGTCTACAGCCTTTATTGAATGAAGGCATCCATCAACATCCAAATCCTTCCCAGGAACCAGTCCTTTAAGACCCAGGACACACTTCTTCAGGACCCCAGCCTTCTCTCGGTGTCTGAGGGCACAGTTTCTTTATCCCTGCCACTTACCATGCCCACCCTTAACCAATTTATTCCTAGTCTCAGCTTAAATATCACTTCCCTGGGGAAGTCCACTTTTCTAGACTTCACCAATTATGTGAGGGCCCTATTTACGATTTGATGTGTACCCTATGTTTCAAAATTCATGCAAAAACACACGCCAAGATTGTTCTAACAACTGTGGATTCAGCAGGAACAAAACAGACAAAAACCTGCCCTCAAGGAGCTTCCGTTCTAGTGGAACATAGTATTTTCTCCCAAAGCTCTTATAATTGTAATTAATTATTTTAATAATCATTAGCTGGATGTCTTTCATATTCAACTGGAAGATCTGGAGAACAGGGATCAGTTCTGTGGTCCCTCCAGAGCCTAGCACAGAGCCTGAAACATAGCAGGTTTAATTCTACAAGATTTTAGATGAAGGATGAATGAATAAATGCATGCATGCATGCATGTATGCATGAATTTTAAATTTCTATAGCATCTTACACAGACTACGTAATTTAAAAAACAGGTGGAGGAACAGGAAAGTATTCAAGTTTCCATCATCAGAAGTTCAAGTAATTCACCATCTTTAAGGATTCCCTTCAATCTCTGATGTGCAGCATACATATTTCTGCCAAGCAGAGGTATTGCAGAACAAATCACAAGATAGCAATTATCTCCCCCAATATTCCTATAAATAGTTGTAGGCAGCCCTCTACCTCATCCTTGTTTCATTACTGAGTTTCTGGGATGAATTTGAAAGGCAGATTTTTTTAAAAAGCCTTGGCAATTGAGAGGCTATAGTTGGCTTATAGGGACTGTGCTTGCAGGTGCAAAAAAATACATTTTGCATACATAAAAATACAAGGGGGTCAGGCTGGATTCCTTTGAATGTGCAGCTTTACATTTTTAATTTTATTTTTCTGAATTTTTGATGAGGACAGATTTTGTTGGTCTGCTGCCCATTTTCATAGCACATTGGAATCTGGCAGTTCCACTTGGGAACCCATTGAAATGCAAAGAGAGGCCAGGTCTGTAACTAAGATCCGTTTACCTGCATTCACTCTGTAATAAGAGAAAATGGAAAGAGGAATTAACCATTAAATTACCAGCTGAATTAGAATTAGAAATTGTTAAGGTGGGAAGATTTACTCACTGAAATACTAATTCTGAACTGTAGGCTTCGAAAAATAAGATGTAGTAGTTATACCCTCCATTTGGATCAGCACTTTACAGTTTAGAAAAGCATTTTCACATCCATCCATTATTTCATTGCAACCTCCCTGAAACCCTGTAATCAAGTTATCACACTGGTACCAATTATCTTTTTTCTGTACAAATCAGATCATGTAATTTCCCTTCTTTAGTAAGTTCAGAGGAGTCCTGTTGCTCTCAGGATGAAGTCCAAAACCAAGGCCACCATATCTGAACTTATCCCCTCTTCACAACTATGTCTTCTATCATTCATTCATTCTCTGGTAATTAACACATAGGCACAGTTCTAGCTTACCAAAAATTTCCAGTACAACAAAGGAAGACAGTCACTTCAGATAAATGCATGTTAGTAACTCCTGAAAGGGGGTTTAAGTTGAAATCTATTCATTGGATTCTGAGTTAGGCAGATGACATGTGCAGCAGCAGATTGGGGTATAAAGCACAGATGATTGAGTAACAGCAAACAGTGGGAACAGAGGAACACAAAAAACAGCACCATTTCTCTTAGCCACAGCCATACAGGATAATTGCCCCATAATCTTTCACACCTCCAAGTTTTGGACAATCTAACAGAAAGATCCCTCATTCTTTCTCCACTAGATAAATTCATTAATCCTTCAAGTCCCCTCTCACTTGTCATTTTTCTTTGCTTCCTCAGCTTCTCCATTAAGCTTTGTTTTTGCTTGTACATCCATTTCTTCCTACCGAACCATAAGCTCCTTGGGGACAAGGAAAGTGAAGTGTGAGCTTAATACACAGTGGGTGAGCAGAGCAGGGACCCAGTGCCCAAGACAGAAAGTAGGGGGGTTTTGGTGAGTGGGAACCAGTGGCCCACAGACTAGCTGCCATGACACTGCCCATCCATGCTGCTGCTCTCAAAAATGGCATGTGTGACAAGGACAGCCAACTGAAAGCCCACCTGGATTAGGCTCTGAGCTAAACTTACTGTGGACAAATTGGCCAGTGGGGGTTCTTGTAACATCCCTGCTTGAAAGTGGAGAACAGGTTCATGAGTGATTTGTTGGTGATAGTGCTCATTGCTTTTGTGACCTCTGCACTGGACTGCATTGTCTCTATTCTAATCCAAGCCCATACTCATGTGTTTTTCAACTGTTCTGTCTCTTGGTGCCTATTTGCTTGAAGGACATTATGCAAACTGTACCGGTTCCGGACAACTGGCCTAGACAAGGAGCTAAGACCTCTTTGATGTGGCTCAACCTCTTCTTAGTGTAGTGTTTTTTGTTTGTTTTGTTTTGTTTTGTTTGAGACAGAGTCTTACTATGTTGCCCAGGCTGGAGTGCAGTGGCACAATCTTGGTTCACTTCACCCTCTGCCTCCCAGGTTCAAGAGATTCTCCTGCCTCAGCCTCCCATGTAGCTGGGATTACAGGTGCCCACCACCTCTCCTGGCTAATTTTTGTATTTTTAGTAGAGATGAGGTTTCACCATGTTGACCAGGATGGTCTCAAACTCCTGACCTCAAGTGGTCTGCCCACCTTAGCTTCACAAAGTGCTGGGATTACAGGTGTGAGCTACTGTGCCCGGCCTGGAGTAGTATTCTTTAAAAAATGCCAGCAGATTTTTTATTTCATATGAAATCATATCTGGAAGCTGGTTTTCTTCTGCAATTTACGTAACTTGGAAATCCCCAAATCTAAAAAAAGCACAGTTATTTTGAAATGGGAGTGGGGGTCATGGTAACCAGTTACTCAGGCTCTTCCCTGATCTCTCACACCTACGCAGACCCTAAGGCACCTCCACAGACCTAAGATTCCACAGAACACAAAATAAAAACACTGGTCTAGATTTAAAAAAAAAAAAAAAAAAAGGACTTGTATAGATAAACTCTAAGAGTTGACATCAGCTGGTCTATCAGATTAGCTCTCAGTTTGGATCTAAAATATCAAGGAAGACTTAGATTTGGCATCATCTGGGTTTGATTTCTGACTTGGGCATGTATTCAATAGCATGAACTTAAAGGATGTCATCTCAGCTTCCCAGAGCCTCAGTTTCCTTATATGTATGGGGGAAATCATAATAAAGACTTCGTTGGAATTGTGCTGATTAGATTAAAATGTACGTAAAGTATTTCACATAATAAGCAAACAACAAATATAAGGTGAATTAGCAATTGTGATTATGGCTGAAGTGCTATTTATTATTGCCATTTACTTTGACTAAAGTATTCTTTAGCTCTTTGTGATCACTTGTAGGCCTAGAAGGCTTTGAAAAATGACAATTCTTCTTCAACCTCCACCTCCATTGAAATACCAATAGCAATACTAATTTTAAAGAACTTTCAACACAGGGCTAAAAGATGATTGAAACAATTTCTCAGATGAGCCACTCACCTTTGGAAAATAAGGCTGTTTTGTGGGAAATTCAAGCTCACCCATTTGAGAGTGTTAATGGAATTCCAGTGAAAAGGGCACTCCTCTGAAGGCATTGGCCTCCTTTGTTTGTTCTCTTATTATTGCAGCATTCCTGTTATCAAAGGCATAAAGGGGAGGCCCATCTGTACCCAACACAAAGGAGAGAATTCCTGAGACCAATCTAATGAGAGGCAGGGTCCCTATGAGCCTTGGAAGCCAAAACATCTCGGGACATATGGTTTCCTGAAAGTCCTACCCCAGCAGTAATTGGCTGATTCATTCTTTCTTTTACATATACACCTCAAATACTTATTGAGCACCTGGTAGTGAGTCTAGAGCAGTGGACAAAATAGGCGAAGTCTCTACTCTCTGAGCGTAGCCATGGGGCAGGCAGGAAGGGGTCAGAAAGGTTCTCGGCACCAGAGTCCCAAGAAGTAGACAGAAGACAGCAGAATCACAATTACCAAGGAGGAAAGTACATTTTTATAAAAATATGGGCTATGAGATCAGCAGCTTTACTTACTTGAAAATAGAACTAAGAGTGATTCATCAACTACTATGTGTCAGAGACTTTGTAGGATGCATAAATACATCATCTCATATAATTTTCATAACAACCACACTAGGCTAGGTATTATTTCTCTCGTCTTACAGAAGAGAAAACTGATGCTCAAAAGAGGCAAAATTCCTTGTTCAAGATCACACAGCTAGTAAGTGGCAGACCTGAGACTGTCAGATCTCAAAGTTGAAGTTTTTTTACTAGGGCTTACATCTCTAGCAAACAAGCTTAACAAACCTAATTTCATTAATATGTACAATGTCTCCTAGTGCATTCAAACAATATAGACCAAATGACTGCCACAAAGAGAAATTAGTGGATCTACATTTAGAAACCACATGTTTTTATTGGCTCTTCTCTTTCTCTCTCTCTTTTTAATGCTCTCTCCAACACCAATTCACTTTATTCTTTTCAATAAGCATTTGTCCAATTTAAAGTCAATGAAAAATAATGTACATTTTTCAACAAGTATACATTAAGCCCTGCAAAAGTGCTTATATGCTATTTAGTGCTGAGGGTGCTGGAGCAGGGAACACATTTGAGTATGTCTGTAATTGAATTCCAAAGGGGTTAGCAGGAAGCTGGCTTTGTTCTGCAATTTAGGGAACTAAGAGCTTGTTAGAAAGGCTTTGG
The DNA here is from genome assembly GCF_000001405.40 of Homo sapiens. Lineage (NCBI taxonomy): Eukaryota > Metazoa > Chordata > Mammalia > Primates > Hominidae > Homo > Homo sapiens. The sequence goes on from NC_000001.11 coordinate 57,206,207, forward strand.
AGGAGAAGAGGAGGGAGGCAGGGAGAAAAGGAGGGAGAGGGATAGGGAAGAATGCTTAGTAAGGAGAACCTCCCTCCACAGCCTGTGGCATGAAAGGAGATGGTATCTCCCTCTACCAGACAGGGCTGCACTTGGCAGTCAAAAGATTTGGGTTCTATTTCCAGCTCCACACAAATTCCTAGCCCCCACTACCTCATTGATAAGATTTGTAATATGGAAACAGTCTATGATTCTATTAAAAAAGGCAGTGACCTAACACCACTGGGCTTATTTTTTACCTCCCTTTTATACATAAGTTAAAATCTCAGGTCGCATGTGCCTCCTCGCTGTCTCTTCCCATTTGTTCTTCTTACTGAACAAATTGGTGCCATTTACCCCAGTTTGGGGCTCATGGTTCTCTCTTTGCTCAAAAACGGAGTTGAAGCTTAGGTCTGAGTTTCACACTGTTTCTCTTGCTTCTGGATATTAAAATCCAGATCCTTTTGGTTCTTTTGCTGGCCAGTGTCTATAAACTAGAACTGAGTCCTAAGCAAGGGGCTTCATCAAGAGGCAATATGTAGAAACAGAAAAGGACACAGGCGTTTTGGAGTCAGAAAGACCTGGAATTAAACCCTGATTTAGCCCCTTTTTCATCTCATGTGTAAAACAAGGGTGTGAGTGTTATGCCATGTATATGATATGTGACACATCCCAGACACTTAAATGACAAACACAACTCTTCTTTTCTTCTTTCTTTCTCTTTCTCTTTCTTTCCTTCCTTCCTTTTTTTTTTTTTTTTTTTTTTGGAGTTTCGCTCTTGTTGCCCAGGCTGGAGTGTAATGGCGCAGTCTCGGCTCACTGCAACCTCCGCCTCCCAGGTTCAAGTGATTCTCCTGCCTCAGCCTCCCGAGTAGCTGGGATTATGGGCATGTGCCACTGTGCCTGGCTAATTTTTGTATTTTTAGTAGAGACAGGGTTTCACCATGTTGGTCAGGCTGGCCTTGAACTCCTGACCTCAAGTGATCCACCCGCCTCAGCCTCCTAAAGTGCTGGGATTACAGGCGTGACACACTGCTCCCAGCCCACACTCATTTTCATTATTAACAAATAGCATTTGCTCCAGATATCGTGAAAATGTAGATGATAAAACTTTGAACCCTTCAGTTCATGAGTTCCCCTAAAGAAAGAGCAGAAAATACTTTCATGTTCATTTATAAAAATGATAGAATAGATTACTGTAATTCATACCTTATTTCCTTTCTTTTTTTTTTTTTTTGAGATGGAGTCTCGCTCTGTCGCCCAGGCTGGAGTGCAGTGGCGGGATCTCGGCTCACTGCAAGCTCCGCCTCCCGGGTTCACGCCATTCTCCTGCCTCAGCCTCCCAAGTAGCTGGGACTACAGGCGCCCGCCACTACGCCCAGCTAATTTTTTGTATTTTTAGTAGAGACGGGGTTTCACCGTTTTTAGCCGGGATGGTCTTGATCTCCTGACCTCGTGATCCGCCCGCCTCGGCCTCCCAAAGTGCTGGGATTACAGGCGTGAGCCACCGCGCCCGGCACCTTATTTCCTTTCAAAGAGAACTCAACTGCCTCTCTAGATAGTAACTTCTTCCAGCAAGGTGTCAAGTCCTGGGATGGGCTATGTATTCATATCTTAAAGGGCTTGATTTTTATAAGTTTAATAAAGGCTCAGTTCAAAACAAGTTGATGGCTGACTTGTCAGGTCACATAAAAAGTGTCTATGAAGATCAAAGACCTTGAAATAGGCACAGTGACCTTCCTGGAACCCAAGGTGGGGAAATACTTCCTGTCTTAGTTTGAGCTGCCCTAAAGCAGGCCCTGAAATAAGGATTGTAATGCAAGTAATTTATTTGGGAGTTGCAAATAACACTGTCATGGGAGTGAGGAAACGATATAAGAAAGAGAAAGTAGACCATAAAAGGTGCATCATTAAGCCAGATGCCAGGAAACTGAAAAGCAGCATAAAACACACTCCTCAGATTTTTGATCCCCAAAGGGTGAGGGAGTTGGGGTATTTATACACTAATTTCTAAGAGTCATATGTCAAGGGCTGCTCCCAAGTATGTCAAGAACCTTAAATGTCTGACCTGTGCTCAGATCAGCAGTGGCCTTCCTCAGTTTTTGGGAAGCCAGTTCAGAAATGCAGCTATGAGCAGTTAGCACTGGAATGACAGGAACCAAGGGATACAGTGAGGGATGAGCATCTGCTCCCCTTTCAAATGAGGTTTCCTGTTTAGGTACCATGGATCACACTCTTCCCTTAGGAACAACAGCCTTTCAGACCACCTCACCTGGCTTACTCCTCCTTATTCTTCAGCAGCTGTCTCCTTAGGCGTATATGTAGCATTCCACTAAAACTATCTGTACCTCAACCATCTCTGTAGTTGAAGAACCTAAAATAGTATCTGGCACATGGTAAGTGATGAGTAGTTATTTTTTAAAATAATGAATCCATTCTTCCTTGAAGGGACTTTAGGGCCAGGTACTGTGGCAGGTGATTTTAATGCATTTTCTTTCTCCAGTTTACATGATACACCTATTTATTAATTTTCATCCCCATTTTGTAGATGAGGAAACTGAGGCCTAGAAAAGTTAAGAGCTAAAGACATGGCAAGACTGAGATTCAAATCCACAGAGATTCCAAAGCCACCTTGACCTATGCAAGACTGTGAAACAGAAACCTTGAGAATTACAGACAGTGCGTTCAGGCCAAGACACAAGGAATTTGGACTCTATTGTAAGCTTCAGAGATAAATGCACTGTGTCACAAGGTGTTGCTGGAGACACACAAGGCATACAGTTCAACTGCTAGTTTCTCCTTGAGAAGGTGAGCTGCAGATGGCATGTCAGATTCACCTATGTCCATCACTTGGCACAGGGCCTGGCTTAGTAAATATGTGATGGAGGCTTACTGAACAGAACAAGCAATTGAGTAAATAAGAAATAGATGGAAGAATAAACTGAGGGGATGGGAGGGCCATGAGGGATGGTGATTCTTCAGGGAAGTTGCATTACTGCACTGAGTGTTTCTAGCTTGGGTTTTTATTCATTCTAACAGCATTTATGAACACTACTATGTTTATAGCAAAGTGTGGAAAGCCTAAACCATATGCTTTAAACACACTGATTTTTCTGCTTAAAAATATGCTCTTCCGCTGCTGCAAAGACAGTTAAATGAATTGGGGGAAGTCTGTTCTTCACGTTGCAAACTGGCTATTTGCAGGGATAAAAGCTTCCAGTGAACACTGTTCCTCTACTATAAGTTGTGCTTGCTGCTGTCAATAATGCCCTTTACCTAATCACAAGAAAAGATGGATGCCTGGTGGCCAGCTTCAATTCTACTCCACACCTTTGTTTTTCAAGGTAAGAGGACCACCCTGTAATATAATTCACATCTCCCATCACTGAGTTGAACAGATCTGACAGCTAACATTTTGCTGCTTTATTTGACCTTAATCTGCTCTTGAACTTTGTCTACTGTTACTGGATAACCAGCAACTGCAAAGTGAGAGAAACCAATGTGTGTAATGCCTAGTTCATAATACTTCGCCCTCTCCCTATTGTTTAATTCAATGGCTCTCAATTGTTTCTCTCCTCTGGTCCCAGTATTTGTATCCTCCCTCTCCCCCTCACACACACACCAGTCCCTCTCTCAACCTACCTGGTCTACTGTAATAGGAACATAATGAAATTTCACAGGCAAAGGTATTTATATGATTACAGAAAAGCCACATGGCTTGGACTAAAAAGACCTAAATTGAAATCTCATTTTAGCTTCTTACAAACTGTGTGACCTTACTTAGCCAAATGACTTAACCTGTTTAAGCCTCAGTTTCCTCATTAATAAAATTGAGATAATAATGCCTAACTTCTAGGATTATTATGACAATTAAATGGGAAGGCAGAAAAATGTCTAAAACGGTGCTTAAAATCTTGACCTATGTTAGCTGCTCTCATTAACACCAGTATTAATATTAATAAGCATTGTGTTGCTAGAGCCATCATTATTGGATGGTTTGGGGATGTAACATTTCCATTAACATTTTAAAGAATAATGTCTACTGCTATGATTTTTAAAAATAACCAAAAGCACACTTGCAAAGGACAATAAGATAGAACAGTCATTTAAAAATTTTCTGTCATATAATTCTTAAAAATAAAATGTTCTGCTGAAAAATGATGAAACTCAAAAATAATGCATAAAACATTTCAGCCTGTGTCCTGGTAGGTAAAGACAGCAGGGGCCTACATATCCCAGTGTTGGAGGGCACAGAAATTGAGGCATAGTGATTTCTTGGTAAATGTTATAAAAGGGCCGTGTCTCCTAGACTGCTGAGTCTCATTAGTGGTATACCAAAGGCCTCATTCATCAACTTACTGTCTCAAAAAATAATCTGCATTTTGAGGAACACTACAAAAAATGTACCTAAACACACACACACAGATAAAAGTTCATCTCAATCCAAAGGCTTATCAATAAATTTGATGAAAAAGGCCATGTAGTTGCAATCGAGTTCATTTGGTTTCAAAAGGAAGGCAAAAGAGAGGGTGTTGACATTGTAGCAGGTACTGAGTTTAGTTACCAATAGAAAATATTTTAAAAATTTAAAAACGGGGCCAGATGAAATAGTTTTCACTGCCTATGCATGTGTATGCATGTATATGAATACATCCATACACAAATAATACATTTTACTACCAACCCATTAAAGTTAAAACATCAATCTTCATCATATCAATTTCAAAATATTAGACTCTGCCATTCTAATCTGGTATTGATAAGAATGAACAAGTCCTGGAATTTTACACCTGGGTGCATTTCATTTTGTTTCTCTTCAGTGACAGAATTCAATATGACACAGCTCAGTGTGACAGCATCAGGCTGAGACTGTCACCTTAGGGGCTTATACATCTTTAAAATTCTCACAAAAGTGAAATTGACTGACAGCGAAGCAAAATGATGCTTTTAACTTGAGTTGGAAGATCAGAAAAGTCAATGAAAACACTCAGAGTTCGTTAAGGCTCTTCAGTGAAGATCTTTTGGAGGAAACAGCTGTAGCCTCCCAAGTACTAAACTGCTGCGGTCTGGTGGGACCCCAAGGACCATCTTGAGGGATATGGCCACACAGAGGCCATGGTGTTAAAAGTGATACAAGTAGAGTGCTTGTATCACTTTTGTAACAAACTTAACAAAGAAAGTCTGTTCTCTTCTCATTCTATCACAGGTATGGTATGATGTATAGGGAAGAGTATGGGGCTGGGAAGTGAGAGGTGCTGCATTCAAATCCTTGCTTTGAATCATCACTTTAAGGATGGGTGACCCAAGAGACACCACTTAACCCTTGTGTCTCCATTTATTTACCTGCAAACTGGGATGATGGATATACTTACTTCAGTGTTGTGGAAACATCAAATAAAAAATGTTATATGTCAAAACTAAGTTCCAAAGGGCTACACAAAGTTAAGATTTTATTGTGTACAGTCAGCCCTCTGTAATCACAGGTACCACATCTGAGGATTCAACCAAATGTAGACCAAAAACTTTAGAAAAAGTAAAAAACAATAACAATAATGCAAATAAAAATATAATACAGCAACTATTTATAAAGCCTTTACATTGTACTAGGTATTACAGGTAGTCTAGAGATGATTTAAAGAATATGGTAAGATGTGCATAAGTTGTGTGTAAATACTGCAACACTTTATATCAGGGACTTGGGCATCTGTGGATTTCAGTATCTACAGAAATCCTGGAACCAATCCCCCAAAGATACTGAGGAATGCCTGTATATATTTATGCAATTTTGTTTTTACTGTGGCCATAACTGTTGCTACAATAGACCTCTACACAGGCAGAGCCAGAGAATGCATGCATGCTATAATTTTAAGAGTGAGTAAGATTTAACACTAAGTGGTCTGCCTCCTAAACCTATATTCTCTACAAGGCAGCATTCTGTATCTGGCCATGAAGTCACAGAGCTGAAGGGATACCTAGCCCATCCCCCTGTTTTACGAATGACCAGACCCCCAGTGAGGAGAAGCAAATGGTCCGAGATTAGGTGGTTAGAGAAAGGGGCTGGATAAAGACAATAATGATTATGATATAAAAACTAAAACATAATTACTGGTAATATTACATGTATATATTATTTCCTTTTTTTTTTTTTTTTTTTTTTTTTTGACACAGAGTCTCACTCCATTGCCCAGGCTGGAGTGCAGTGGCGCGATCTCAGCTCACTGCAAGCTCCACCTCCTGGGTTCATGCCATTCTCCTGCCTCAGCCTCCGGAGTAGCTGGGACTACAGACGGCTGCCACCACGCCTGGCTAACTTTTTGTATTTTTAGTAGAGATGGGGTTTCACCATGTTAGCCAGGATGTTCTCGATCTCCTAACCTCGTGACCCACCCGCCTCGGCCTCTCAAAGTGCTGGGATTACAGGTGTGAGCCACCGCGCCCCGCCTTATTTCATTATTTACAAAGCACATTCATATGCACTAATTCATTTTGATTTTCATCTTGACAACTTCCTATGAAATAGGTAGGGTTTTATTGTTACCTCATTTTAAACCAAGGGAACCCAGCATTCAAATAGGTGCCCTGTCTTTCTCAAGTTTAAGAAGCTAATCAGTGTTAGAGTTTGGACTCAAGGCTGGATGTCACCCCAGTCTCAGAACCCTTCTGCCATCCTGCGCTGAGCTGTAAGGTACAGAAAAGGCAACACTGACGGCCTGAGAATCTAGCCAGTGAAGTGTGGCAGGCAGGGGGCTGCACAGAGGCGTGCTATGGTGCAAAGGACTAGAGGACAATAGAGGCAGAAGGTGCAGTGAGTGGGAGGCGAGTCTAGGTCCTAGTGGACTGTGCTGCCCAGGGCCCAGCTGGGTGATCTAAAGCAGCATTGTCCAAAAAAAAGAAAGAAAAAAGGCAAGCTACAGATAGAATTTTAAATGTTCTAGTGACCACATTTTAAAAGGTACAAAGAAATGGGGGATGGGGGGTGGGATTCTATTAATGTATTTTCTTTAACCTATCTTAACTATTATCATTTCAACATACAACCAATATAAACAATTACTTAGATTTTTGACAATCTTTTTCTTTTTTCAGTACTAAGGCATTGAAATCTGCATGTATTTTGCATGTACTACACATCTCAATTTCATCTAGCCATACATCTGGTGCTCAACAGCCACATGTCACTCACGGCCACCAAAATAGATAGTGTAGATCTAGAGATAGGGTCAGGGTGGACAGAGTCCTGGCCTTTGGGCCCTGGGCAGATCTAGAAAAAGAATGATCCAAAAAACACTTTCCCTACAGTTCATCTCAAACTACAGTCATACAAAATGCTGGCTCCACCAGGCCCCAGAGGAAGTTTGCCATAATAATCACGTTTTCTTTCTACCTCCATCTTTTTCTCCTTAGGTGAAGAATTAAGGAGAGGAAGAAGAAAACATCAGAACTGCACAACAAAGTTTGGGTAGCATCACCCTACAGGCAGGTAACCTCTTTCGGACCCTGTTGCTTTACCATAAAATGAAGTAGTTCAACCAACCCAGGAACATTTCAATATTTCACCATTTTCTCTTTCTTTTGCTTGCTTGTTATTTTCTTGTCCCAATCTCTTCCTCCCAATCCACTTTCTCTCTCTGGTCTTCTTTCCCTATAAAATTCCATGATTCATTAAGCATGTACTTAGGCAAGCCCCATGCTAGGCACTGGGGTCTTAGACATGAGTCAGATTTGCTGTTTGCCCTTAGTAGTCAGGGAAGCAGGTATACCAAAAGGTAATTGCAATGCAGTGGGATCTATTAAGTATAATGCAGTCACTGAAGAAAACACTTGTCTTAGTCCTTTTTGTGCTGCTAAAACAAATACTTGAGACAGGACAATTTATAAAGAACAGACATTTGTTTCTCACAGTTCTGGAGTCTTGGAAAGTCCAAGATCAAGGGGCCAGCAGACTTGGTGTCTGGTTAGGGCCTTCTTGCTGAGTCCTCACATGGCAGAAAGTGAAAAGTGGAACTATGTAAAGCTTCTTTTAAAAGGGCTTTATTCTCTTTAATGAAGGAGAAGTCCTCATGGCCTAATCACCTCCTAAAGGCCCACCACTTAATACCATCACATTGGCAACATCTGAATTTTGGAGGGGACACATTCAAATCACAGCAACCCTCAACTGCCCTTTGGTTTGAGGTGGATCATAAATAGATTAATAGAAGAGAGATTCTTGTCTGTCACACTACAGTTACCTAATCATAATTTCATTTCTCAAGTTTTTTTAAACCAGTATAAGCAAGAGCCATCCAGAATAGTCACAATGAGTTGATAAATTGTAACCCAATAGCAATTGCTATTTTTGTTGCCCTACCTAGCCTAAGAGGAAGGGAGCACACTTTCTGTTTCACCTTAGAAAAACAAAACAAGCCGGGCGCAGTGGCTCACACCTGTAATCCCAGCACTTTGGGAGGCCAAGGTGGGTGGATCACAAGGTCAGGAGATCGAGACCATCCTGGCTAACATGGTGAAACCCTGTCTTTACTAAAAATACAAAAATATTAGCCAGACGTGGTGGCGGGCACCTGTAGTCCCAGCTACTCAGGAGGCTGAGGCAGGAGAATAGCGTGAACCCAGGAGGTGGAGCTTGTCGTGAGCTGAGATCACGCCACTGCACTCCAGCCTGGGCGACAGAGCAAGATTCCCTCTCAAAAAAAAAAAAAAAAAAAAGAAAGAAAAAAGGCAAGAAAAACAAAACAAAACAAAACACATGGTGAAAATTGCTGAAGGATTCATTAAATTTGAGAATGGAGAGAAATGTAAGATTCCAGACTGGGAGACAATGAACTAAATAATCACTTGAATATTGTTCACATCCCAGGACCTAACAAAAAGCTCTTTCATGACTCAAATTCACCCTGTGAGAGTCCAGTTATCCCACAGAGACTGTTGTATTTGGGGTTTGATCCTGAGCTGCAATCTCACAGCTTCCCTCACTGTGATGAATGCATAATATTAGTTTGATGTGAAAAGTGTTGGGAAAAAGCAATGTTTTCCAAATCAGAGTAAAGGCAAGCAGGGAAGAATCTGCAAGGAGAAGCTTAATAAAAGAAACAGTTGCTCCCTGTGAGGACTTGCTAAAACAAACCATTTCCGTTATTTGACACCGCATTCAGAACATGGGAGAAGAGGAAACAAAGTGCCACTCAAGAATGCCAGCCTTAGCCTTGATAGCTTCATCTGAAAATTCTGCACCCTGAATTATGTCCTATATTAACTCCCTGCAACCAGAAACTTTCTGAGCACACAGTCTTTGAGTTTGAAAAAAACGTCTTTGTGTTGGACCGTGAATTTTGTGTTCAAGCGCTCTTTATAGAAATCTACCAAATCCCCATTAATCCAGTGTCTAGTCAGCTCTGACGATCTTTAATAATGATTCTATAACCTTTCTTAGAAGGTCATCCCACTTCGAATGGAAACACAGTGATCACTGAAAGTAAAAAATTGCCTCCCTCCATCTCCTTTATTCCTCCCCAACTAGACTTAGGCAGGCACTTGGTTTCTTATCCACTTTTTTCCTTCGACATGAATTCAGACTGGTGCTATGGAATGTCCATGCATTTCTGAAAGCCCCTATTTGGAAAAGGCCAAGCTTACACTAGTAGCTGTGTGTGAAAGGGCCTGGGGGGACACAGCCTCCTCTTTGTGATCAGCATGTGCATAAAGGACTCCGTGGGAGACCCCACTGGGATCTGAAGAGTAGGCCCCAACTGATTGGAGGACCAGATGAATCAGACCAAAGCAGGCAGACAGGAAGGAACTAATCAGAATTAATTCTGGAAATAGATGTCTTTGGCTTGCTCTTTGCTTTCTACACATTAATACTGTGGTTTGCATGGGTGTGTTGGGACCACTTAAGTTGCTACTCAGTGACAAATCATGGCCTTTAAAAATCTAGTATGTGGACTTAGATTTTATTCTTCAGTTTATTAGCTGTGTAGCCTTAGGAAGGTTACTTACCTTATCTGATCCTTTCGGCCTCCTTACCTATAAGGTGGAGTGAATGTGCCTCTCTGGAATTGCTATAAGGGTAAGTGCACATATGGCTTCCAGCAGGGTACCTTTAGCACAACAGGTAGTCAATTAAAGTAACTCCTTTATATAATCATAAAGAAGTATAATTCCACTGATACTCATTAAGTTTGTGGCATTATCCCAGGTCCTATAAAGTACGGGAAAAGTTATAGGTATACCCTGGATATCCAAGATGATGTCATTTTCAAACATTCCCTTTAGTTTCCCTATAAGTAAAACTTGTTATTATCAAATGAGAGGTTGCCAGTTTTGGCTCTAAATAAGATTGTCACTGTGGGTTGAGGCAAGCCAGGTCCATGTCCTTAAGGAGACTGTAATCTAGTTTAGAAGAAAACGCATACTCAGAGAGACCTATAATAAAGTACAAGATAATCACAGTCACTATATTTACAATCATCCCTTTTATTTATATGCCACTTTGTAGTTGAAAAGGTACATTTAAATAAATTTCCTTGCAAGGTAACCTTGCAAGATATTTTATTGTCATTTTTACAGACAACAGAACTTGGAAGCAGCAAGATTCTAGAAACTGCCCATAGACCTACACTACTTGACGTAAGGCAGGACTGGGATTTCTACTCAGGTTCTCCTCATTCTAAAACCAGTGCTTTTTCTGACTTCCTTTCTAGAGAGGCTCTAGTAGAATTTCAGGCTGTGTAAATTTTATTCATTCAACAGCTATTTACTGGGCCATCCAGGGACTTCATGTCCTGATATTATGGTGAGTTTTCCATCCAATCACCTGCAGGGTCTTACCTCCTGGGTGATTTTGCTTAGTTTCATGACCTACAAAACTGGCCTTCTCAGGATGGCACAGATAACGATATTGAAAGAACTGCCTAAGAAAATAAATTATCTTTCAGAAGGGATGGGATCACTCTTAGTTTCCTCCTGAAATACCTATTATCTCTATCACAGTGCTTAAATGGCTTAGTATCTTAATCAACTTCTTCAAACTCTTTGAAGATAAGGATATTTAAATTAAAAATATGTTCTTTAAGTTCTGCATCAAAGTGTATTATAAAGTCTGGTCTTTTCTATTGCTTGGTCAGCCTTATGGGGCCTGAGGGAAAGTCAGCTTGCTAGAATGAATTGGGCAAGGTGAAGGACCTGAATTATATGTCCTTATCGGTCCAAAAATGACATTGAGCTACCTCCAATTTGTGTTATCATAGTCTCCAACTAGAGGAAGCCAAAAAAGAAAACGAACACAAATAAATACTCTGAAAAAAAGAGAAGCTTATCACTGAAACACATCCCTATCTTTTACACAAAAAGTCCATGTAAATGGAGCAAGGTGACCAAAATCTCAAGAGTTATTTGGCAAAACCTCCAGTCTAGGTGACTGGAACCACAGGGCCACAGAATGCACTAAAGCCAATAGTCATTTTTTATTTTCCTGATAAAACTGTTCACCCTAATTCATAGTTCTGATGGTGACACTGTCTCATTCAGGGATATCCACTGACCCATCAATCTGAAGAATAAATTATTGAACTTGCATTTAAACTCTAAGATCTGATCACACCTACCAATCCCCCCACCCCACCCCACTATCCAGCTACACCTCCCTATATACCTTCTACTCAAGCTGCAGGGGCGTAATCACCGTTCATTCATTTTCATTCATCCAAACAAGGATACAGGTGTCAGATACTACTAGGTCCCAAGGAAAAAAACACAAACAGTAATCAGTGGCCTCCAGGAACTCACAGTCTAATGAGGGAGACCCATAATTATGGAAACGTGACAAGTACCAAAATACTGCATTATACCATGCTGTAGGAATGCAGAGAAGAATTCCTTGAAGAGCCGTCTGAGTTGTGCCTTGAAAGTTAACTATGGTATCTACCAACCGGACGAGGTTGGGAAAGCCGTGGAAGGCAGAAGACACAGCACATGCAAAGGCACCGAGGAAAGGGAAAGCATTCCCTGGCTGTGTGTCCTCTTGTTTAAAGCATTTATCTATCCACAACATCTTCAGTATACTGGCCTCTCAAAATCCCACCTTAAGGCCCAGTTCAAACAACATCTCTTATAAATAATCTTTGTTTAACATCCTGGGCAGAATTATCTTTTCTTTCCTAAAGCTTTCATAACCAGAGCAGGGTTTGGTGGCTCGCATCTGCAATCCCAAACTTTGGGAAGCTGAGGTAGGAGGATCACTTGGGCTCAGGAGTTTGAGGCCAACCTGAGCAACATAGTGAGACCCCCATCTCTAAAAAAAAAAAAAAAAAAAAAAAAAAAACAGAAAAAAATTAGCCAGGTGCGGTGATGATGCAGCAGCTACTCAGAAAGCTGAGGTGGAAGGATCGCTTGAGCGTGGGAGGTCTAGGCTGCAATGAGCCATGATCATGAACCAGGGTGACAGAGCATATATAAATGCTCCCATAATCCATATTTTAGCACATTCCATAGCCTGTTCTGTGTTCACAGTGACTAGAAAAAAAAGTAACTAAGTGTCCTCAAGAGAGCTGGGTGCAAAAGTAGGTGGCAGATGAGAAAGGGCAGCTTGGATAAAGCAGCTTTGGTGAGATAAAGGATGCAGGGCCTTAGACCTATTTCTCTCTGTCAAGATGAGGACGGCCAGCAGCGGTGAGGGGAGGGGCTTATCTAGCCACAGCAGAACATCCTGCTCTGGTCTGGAATTATACAGGGGGAAGATAAAGCTTTGGAAGCTGGGTAAAGGCCTAACAAAAACATTCTTGATCTGTAAATAATCTAAGCAAACCACACTAAACATTCCTTTTTCTATCGCATGGATAGAGGATAGTCTCTGTTTCTAAAGTAGATTGGGAGCCAATACCTTAGTAGTTATACAGTTTGGATTTTTATGAATTAGTGAAATTAAAAATAAATACCTTACAGTGACCATTATAGGGTTGCTACCTTTATATTTTACTAATCAAGAATAGTTTTTAAAATATTATCTACTATCACAGTCATTTCATCTAAAAAGAGGCATTTCAACACACACACACACACACACACACACACACATAAACACTCCAGAAGGAAAATCTCAGAATAAAAGATAGCCTTTCCATTCAATCAGTATGGCTTTAGAAGCCATGATATTGCTCTTATTTCTCTCATTTCAAATGAGACCAGTTCAGGTTAGGCAAATTGGTGCTTTCAAATCTATTTATTTAGAATCCCTCTCCCATACCATATGTGGCAGATCCACCCTAAGGTGATCCCACTGAGCCACACCCTTGAGGGCTAGGGGAACCTGACACTCACTTGTAGTTAATAGAAATCAGCAAAAATGGTGGATGGTCACCTCCAGGATTACATAAATTATATAAGACTCCATTTTAGCAGACTGCAGTGACAGATTCTCCTACTGAAGGTGCCTTGTGAGAAGGTGTGTGAGGGGACCCTGTGGCAGAGAATTTGGGGACTTCTAGGAGCTCAGTTCAAGCCCTGGATGGTAGTCAGCAAGAAAACAGGGACCTCAGTCCTGCAACCACAAGAACTAAATTCTGCCAGCAACCATATGCACTTGGAAGAGGATCCCAAGCTCCACAAAATGAACACAGCCCAGAATCCGGAAAGAAAGGCAGCATTGAGAGACCCCTGAGCAGAGGACCCTGCAAAGCTGGGCCGAGACCCCTGACCCATGGAAACTGTCAGATAATAAATGTGTGCTGTTTAAAGCCACTAAGTCTGTGGTAATTAGCTATACAGCAGTAGCTAACTAATACATTAGACTACAAGCTTCTTGAGGGAAGATCTCACAAGGCCTAGAATGGTTGTCTGCACATAAATGTAAAGAATAAATGCTCCAGGGTGAACTGTACTGGCCCTGATTCAAGGCTGTCAGTAATAATTTATGTTTTTCAGGCCCCAAAAGCACTGGGAAGAATGTGACATGGTAGGCTTTGCAGTTTCAAAAGTCCTTTGAGGGGTTCATTTGGCTGGTGGTCATCTTGCTATAATCTGTCTGGAAAGCCAGGAGGATCTTTCCAAGGACACTAGTGGAACATACCCATAGAGAGTATGCTCTGAGCTAAAATCATTCAGCTGCATCGTTTCATCATGCAATGTAAAACAATTCCCAGGAGGGCTTGGTGGGGTGAGGTTTGAAATGGAGACCTGGATGGTAACAACCATAACCATAATTAACATTAGTACTACTTGCAGATTTCACATAAGACTTCCTATCCATCATAACCTGTGGTCCTTTTATCAGTCTTCTAATAGCAGGTATTATTAGCATATCCATTGTACAACCAGGGAAACAGAGCCTTAGAGAAGTTATAACACATGCTCCCCATCAAAAAGTGGGCAAAGGATATGAACAGACACTTCTCAAAAGAAGACATTTATGCAGCCAACAGACACATGAGAAAATGCTCATCATCACTGATCGTCAGAGAAATGCAAATCAAAACCACAATGAGATACCATCTCACACCAGTTAGAATGGCGATCATTAAAAAGTCAGGAAACAACAGGTGCTGGAGAGGATGTGGAGAAATAAGAACAAAACTGTTGGTGGGACTGTAAACTGGTTCAACCATCGTGGAAGACAGTGTGGCGATTCCTCAAGGATCTAGAACTAGAAATACCATTTGACCCAGCCATCCCATTACTGGGTATATACCCAAAGGATTATAAATCATGCTGCTATAAAGACACATGCACACGTATGTTTATTGTGGCACTATTCACAATAGTAAAGACTTGGAACCAACCCAAATGTCCATCAGTGATAGACTGGATTAAGAAAATGTGGCACATATATACCATGGAATACTATGCAGCCATAAAAAAGGATGAGTTCATGTCCTTTGTAGAGACATGGATGAAGCTGGAAACCATCACTCTCAGCAAACTATTGCAGGGACAAAAATTCAAACACCACCTGTTCTCACTCATAGGTGGGAATTGAACAGTGAGAACACTTGGACACAGGAAGGGGAACATCACACACTGGGGCCTATTGTGGGGTGGGGGGATGGGGGAGGGATAGCATTAGGAGATATACCTAATGTAAATGACGAGTTAATGGGTGCAGCACACCAACTTGGCACATGTATACATATGTAACAAACTTGCACGTTGTGCACATGTACCCTAGAACTTAAAGTATAATAATAATTTTAAAAAAGGCTAACACGGTATGACCATATGTGGCATTACAAAAAAAAAAAAAGACATGCTTAAGGTCACCTGATAGCGACATTTCTTTTACCCAAATCTATTTTCACAAAACGTTACAAAATACTATTTTCACAAAACTATGATACTCTGGAATTGAACTGCCTAGCACATATGGGGCTTGGATGCATGACTTCTAGAGACCATAATTCCTGTGTCCTTCCCTCCTGAATTAGTAAGGCCTTTGAGAATAACATCATGAGGATACTCAGTCTGTACTTTCAGCAGTCACACTCTCCCTACTTTGGCCTTGAGAAAGACAGACATTTGTGGTTCATTTTCTCAGAGAAGGGTAAACAAAAAATATCCATTTTTTCTGTTCCTATTGCAAAATGCCCCAAGACATCTCCTAACTGCAACATTACCCTCTGCTTCATATTTAAATAACAGAAATGTTCTATCCTAAAATGGCCAGTAGTTAAATGTCATTTTTTTTTTTTTGCTTTATAGATTATTGTCCCTGGTTCTTTTCATGTGTTACTTTTTATTTTTATTTGCCCAAAGTAACCATTTAGGAGAAACTGGCCAGAAACTAGCATTTATTTACTGCTTTCCAAGGGCCAGGCACTGTTACGCCCTTTACAAATATTTTCTCATTAGATCTTTGCAAAAATTCAGTGAGAAAAATATTATTATTGTTGTTATTGTTCCTTTTTTTTCTTTTCTAGCAGAAGAAACAAAGGGTCGAGAGGTAAAGAAACTTGCTTGAGGTCAAGCTACAGAAAAGCTACAATGGAACCCAAGGGCATAGTCTGTCCTTTAGTCTTTCTTTCCTTTTTCCTTTCCTTCCTTCCTTGCTCCTTCAAAATACATGAACAGAAAATACATTTACAGAAATACAATGACAGAAACTTCTGGTCCTATCCTGAGGTGCTTTAGTGTGGTGGACAATATAGAAGTCCTAAGTGTTGTTATAGAGGAAACATGGGAGCAATAATAAGTCAGGGAGATGGCTGTTGAGACAGCTTCCAGGGAGGCTCAGCTGAGCTCAGGACTCCAAGAGAACAGGGGGCTGGGGTGGAAGGAGCTTTGAGTAACACAGTTCAGAAGTAGATGAGCTGAGTAGGCTTGGGGCACTGCCAGTTTAGTGGCCAGCATGCTTAGGGAGAAATGGGGAGAAAGCTCTTGTAATGGATACACCCAGAGAGGGTGAGCCAGGCTGGGCCTTGTTCACAATGCCAGGGAATCTGGACCTGATTCACTACAGTACAGGTTCACATACTGTCTTTCTATAGACTCACATGGAGAAAACATACATACACGAGACCCATTGTCATAGGGATAGGTATAATTGTGCTCAATTGTGCATGTTGGTTGTAACTCCATTCCTTATTTCCCCCATTTACGAAATGAAGGAATCATGTCTTCATGGGAGTTATGATAGGAATAATCCTATATCCAGTTTAACTTTTCTTACAAAGTAAATAATTTGCACTTGTTCATACTTTATCATTAATACCAGTGAATTGTAACACACTGAATCTGGAAACAGCTGCACCACATCACACGCCTCCTGGGTCATTAGGGCACCTTGCCTGGCTTCCCCATTGAGCCCTGCAGAGTTCCTTCCAGCAGGCTGACACTTCTCCTGTCCTTTCTCTGAATGCTCCTGCAGAAGATCTCCACCAGCTGACATGTAGGGCTCTTTCATAACTTCCTTTTGCCGCCAAAATGCCTCTCCTCCTTCAGTTCTTCAGAAACCAAAGGCAAGTGCTATTCAGATGTATGATCAATGTGGTCATTTGTTAGAAAACCAGGAGAGGGGAGGGACCAAGAAACTGAGGGGAATTAACATCATTCAGGAAAGTGGAGCTTTCCAGAAGCGTAGCACATCTATTTTATTTTTAAAAGAAGAGGGTGCTTTGTGTGGCAATGGGAATGCTTTGGTCCACAACTTTGGTCCAGGGGTATGCAGCCCAAGTCCTCCCTTCTAGAGTTCTAGAGTTGAAAACTTACCTCGCTGGCTTAGAAACTGAGAGAATCCTGCTGTCATTTCATGTCTGCCACCTCCCCTTTGAACTACCAGTGACCAGACTGCAGCCGTGTCTCTGGTCCCTATGCTCAGCAGAGCTACGTACATCATTAAGTAGAAAGAGACAGCAGTTCTTTTTAACTGAGTGGATGGAAGCCACGCCCAAACAAGGATATGATCCCTGGGCAGGCACTAGGTGGAAGCAGGAAGATGCTGTACGAACACCTTGCAGTATGGCAGAACCAACCCGAAACATCTTTAGTGGATTCGCAGACAGCAGCCCTACTTGGCAGCCAACATAGGAACCCTTCAATAAACACCCCCAAACTCAGGTGGTCAATATGCCAATCATGACCCACCAATGGGCAGGGCCTGAGCTGGTCCTGCTGCCACAGCCTCAGGGGATGGTGAGCTGTGCTACACAGCCTCTCTCCTTCCTGACACCTTGCTTCTGCAGGCTGGACAGTGTGATATCATGGGGAAAACTGGCTTTGGAGTCAGAAAAAACTGGGTTCAATTCCTGGGTCCAGCCCTTACTAGCTAAATGATTTTATGTGAGGTACTCCCCCTCCGATTCCTTTGTTGCCCTTCCAAAACACCCTGCCTTGCACTTAGAACTTTACACTGCTATTGCTAGTTTGTAATTATCCTCAAGTAGACTAAGAGCTCCTTAACTGGCAGGCACCATATCAGGCTTACTCACAGGCTTATTCTCAGTGCCTAATATAGTGTATGGAACACAACAGTGGCTCAACAAGCATATGTGGGTGAAAACCGAATCACTACCTCAAAGGACTGTTGTGGTTATGTGTAAAGAACCTGGTACAGTAGGCCATGATTTGAGCCCTTAATTAATCTCATTTTCCTTAATCTCACCCAATGTCTCCCCTGATCACCACCTGAGTTCTGATGGAATTATGGCCATCCTTGACTGTAGCCCACCAGATACAACGCATCAACCCCTCTGTCTAGAGAATAGGATCAGCCTATCTCTCATCCCACTTTTAGCATTGGTAGAAGGCTTTCTTCAAGAGGAAGAACCATCCTGACTGAGCCAAGATGCTGCTCTCTAACCAGTCTGTTCTTTCCCATGCCCCATCCAACAGCCAAGGCTACTTTGAGTCAATGCCAGGATGGGTCATATCAAAGTTTCTGTGTTCCTCTGAACAGCATCTCCCTTTGGGGAAGGTCTGGAGCTCAATTATTTCCCTTCATCCTGGTTAACGTAATCACTGTGGCATAATTTTAAGAAATTTGATTTTTGTCCCTTGTTCCTGGCATAGAGCTTCCAAATCTCTTGGGATTCCCCCATTGATAGGAGTGTCTTTGTTACGCTAATGAAGTGACTCTTGGCAGGGCCCTGAGAGAGCTTCAGGATGGGAGCTGGTTACCAGAAAGACCAACCCTGTGATTAAAGGATTGGAACTTTCAGCCAGGCCCCCAGACCTCTGAGGAGATTCAGTTCAATCATGTGGTCAAAAGATTTAATCAGTGGGCCTACATTAAAACAAAAACAAACAAACAAATCTCTTGTATTAAAAAAACTCAGGACAATGAGGTTCCAGGAGCTTCTTGGATGGTTAACATATCAAGGACACCTAGGGACAGAAGAGGCTACTGTGGCCCACCCACCCAAGATCTTGCCACTCTGTGTATCTTTTCCTGGGCTGTTCATTTGTATCCTTTGTGATAAAAGGAACCACAATCTAAGTGTGGCACTTTCCTGAGTTCTGTGAGTCATTCCAGGGAATTCTACAATCAGAATGGGGTCATGGGAACTCACAAATTTGTAGTCAGCTGGGTAGAAGTGCAGGTAGTTTTGTGATACACAAGACTTGTCACTGGGGTCTGGAGTGGGGACAGTCTTGTAGAACTAAATCCTTAAGTTGTGGGGTCTGTGCTTAACCTGTGTAATGTCAGATTGGACTGAATTGGACTAGACTGAATTGAACTGAATTGAAGGACACAATTCAGTAGTGTCAGAGAACGGTGCTGAAGAATTGGTACTGAAATGTAATCACAAATTCCACCTTTCACCACCCACCCATGCCACCAAAGACACAGCATACATCACAACCAGGCCTATCTGACTTCAGTTCTGCTCAATACAGCTTTTTTGAGGATAGCAGCCACAGTCCCTGCTCTCAAGAAGCTCACGGTGTACGGTAAGAGATGACAACAGATAAATTCAATATAAAGTCATAATGGGTATGATACAAGATTGCAATGTATTACTGTACAGACAGAGTGATAGAGATACATTCCTAAAAAGCAAAGCTAATTGATAGTTAATTCAAGTGTGTCTAGCTGTAAATCAACCCTCTATGAAAAGCATGGGGCATTAACATTTTAGACATTACCATGGAGGTAGTGATGTTTTTGTTTTTGTTTTTTTTATAAAATGGTTTTTCAGAAGTTTGCTGAGTCAAGCTCTACTACATCATTAACTTTTAATAATAATGTAAAAAAATTTACATATCACCTAATATTGTTCCATTCTGGTTGTCATCTTATTTGACATTCCCACAACAATGGGTGCAGCCAATCACTCCTGCCTCCTTGAAACACCTCTCCTCTTGGCCTCTCATTCTCCTAGACTTCTTCTCCCTCAATGCTCACTCCTTCTCAGTCCCTTTCACTGGTTCCTCTTCATCTAAATGTTGAGATCCCTCAAAACTCAGATCTCAAAGTTCTTCTCTTCTCTTCCCAAGCTCAATATTTAAGTACATCATCCATTCTAATGGGCTTTAATACCATCTACATGATGTAATCTCTTAAATGCTTATCGCTAGCAGAGACCTCTCCCCTGAATTCTAGATTCCTTTATTGAACTGTCTACTGGACAATTATGCTTGGGCGTCTAATTCATCTGTCAAACTTAATGCCCAAACTAACATCCTCCCAATTTTCTCTTCCTTCCACGTTTCTCATTTCAGTTAGTGGCAACTCCATCCTTCCCAGTTTCTCAGCCCCAAGCCCTTGGAGACATTCTCAATCACTGTTCTCTCATATGCCAAATCCAAACTCCTGCTAAGCTCCATAGGCTCTATCTTTAAAATCTAGGCAGAATCTGATGCTTCTCAGCCCCTCCACCACTTCCTCTTTGGTCTGAGCCATTTGCATCTTCAGTATTTTCTATTTGCATTCCCTTCCCAATAAGTGATCTTCAACCTAAAAACAAGAGTGAGCCCTTCAAAAAGCAAGTCAGATCCTGTCACTCAAAAGTGGTTAAAAAAAAAATATATATATATATATATATATATATCAGTGTTTAGAAGTGAGGAAACAGGCTGAGAAAGGTTAAGTAAACAGTCATACCCTCAAGAAGTGGTAATTAGTAATCAGCAGTGGAACAAGGATGATTTAAGATTTAAACCTGACGCCATTTGAATCCAAAGCCCATACTCTAAATTATCACCCATCCTGCCATGAAACCATTTCATTCTTTAAATCCAATAAATGGGCCTGGTGCAGTGGCTTATGCCTGTAAACCCAGCACTTTGGGAGGCTGTGGCAGGAGGATTTCTTGAGCCCAGGAGTTCAAGACTAGCCTGGGCAACATAGTGAGACACCATCTCTCAAAAAAAAAAAAAATTGCCATGTGTAGTAGCATGTGCCTGTAGTCCCAGCTACTTGGAGGCAAAGGGGGGAGGATCACTTGAGCCCAGGAGGTCAAGTCTGCAGTGAGCTGTGATTGCACCACTGCACTCCAGCATGGGTGACAGTGATCAAATAATCAATCAATCAATCCAGGAAACATTTGTATCCTAAGCCTTAGTGGAATTGAAATATATTACTTCACCCTGACAAGATTTTAAAAGTATAGACTCAATTCATGAATTCATTCAACAAATATTGTTTGAGAATCTGTTCTATGCCTGGCAGTATTCTAGGACTGGGGATCCAGCAATGAAGACTAAAGACTATCATTACAGAGCTTATAGTCTAATGAGAGAGAGAGACACAGTAAAACAAAATAGATAATGTCCATGTGTTAAGCTTTAAAGAGTAATAAAGCTGGGTAAATAGATAAGGAGCAACAGAGAATGACTAGGGAAAGAAGTGGAGGCAGGATTTTTTTTCTTTTGTGTGTGTGTGTGTGTGTGTGTGTGTGTGTGTGTGTGTGTGTTTGGTTTTGTTGAAATAAGAGTCTCCCTCTGTCACCCAGGCTGGAGGGCAGTGGCATGATCTCGGTTCACTGCAACCTCCACCTCCCAGGCTCAAGCGAGCCTTCCACTTCAGCGTCCCTAGTAACTGGGACTACAGGTGTGCACCATTACACTGAGCTAATTTTTGTATTTTTTTGTAGAGATGGGGTTTCACCATGTTGCCAGGCTGATCTTGAACTCCTGGACTCAAGCTATCCTCCTGCCTCGTCCTCCCAAAGTGCTAGGGTTACAGGCGTGAGCCACTGTGCCCAGCCAATAGGCAGGATCTTCCTGATGCACTGAAGCAAGAGCAAGAGGGCATAACTTAGGGGAATAACTTATGGGCGAGTGGAAGGAGTAAACATATCTAATGGTGAATGGTTAAGTTAGAGGCATTAGTTATGGTCTGCCGTGTAACCTGAAATAGATGCAGCCATAGTTGTTGTTCCTGAGGCATCAAAGGGAATGCTTCAAACATTTCACCATACATTAACCTTTTCCTCTATCAACAGACTGAAGTGCCTATAATAGGGCCTGGAACACAGTACCTGCTCAATAAGCCTTAATATCTGGGCATATGATATCTGCAACTTTGTTCTCCTTTGAAATAGTCTTCACTATTCTTGGATGCCTGCACTTTGGTATCCATTTTATAATCTGTCAAGTTATACACACAAACACACCCACACACGTTAGAATTTTGACCTGGATTGCACTGAATCTATGATTTCATTTGCAACGACAAAATTTATGATGGTACCAAAAATATGTGTATATAGAATACACTCAAAAAAACACATCAGTAAGAAAAAGAATGCAAATATAGGATGAAAGATATAAAGATAAAATTTAGAAGAGAAAACCTGAATGACCAATAAACATGAAAATAACCTAACCTCAGATGTATTCAGGGAAATGCAAATTAAAACAAAGATGAGGAATCATTCTTTACCCATCAGTTTGGCAAAAACTAAAATGTGTGACAATACTAAATGATTTAATTATTGCTTTTTACATGGAGCGTAGGAAACACTCATACCCTGCTGGTGGGTTATATGGATTGGAAAATCCACTTTAAAATATAATTTGGCAATATCTAGTAAAACTGAAGATGCATATACATAGTAAGATCCAGCAATCTGTTACTAGATATTCACCTTGTAATATCCTCTCACATGAGGCCAAAGGATAGAATAGTTATTAAAGTTTTTTTTAAAAGCCCCATATTGTAAACTACCTAAAGTCTCGTAAACAGAAGACTCGGTAGATAAAATAGTTATATTCATTTAATAGAATTCTATATAGCAGTTGAATAAACTACTTACATCAACATGAATGGAACTACTTATATCAGCATGAATAAATCTCACAGAAAATGTTGAGCCAAAAAGTAGAAAGATATGTCTATGTTCAGTGTGAATCCATTTTTATAAAGTTCCAAAATACTTATCACCTAAAGTACATTTCATTTTAGGTACATAATATGCAATAAAAGTTTTTTAGAAACCCTCTTAGAAACATTAAACACAAAACTCAAAATACTGTTTTCCACTTAAACAAAAGTAGAACTACAGAGGGCTTTACTGGTGTCTGTAATATTTTTCACTTCTTCTTCTTTTTTTTTTTTTTTTAAACAGGCTCTCACTGTGTCATGCAGGCTGGAGTGCAATGATATGATCGTGGCTCACTGCAACCTCGACCTCCCAGGGCTCAAGCTATCCTCCCATCTCAGCCGCCAGAGTAGCTGGGACTATAGGTGTGCACCACTATGCCCAGCTAATTGTTTTGTATTTTGTTGAAGTGGCATTTTACTATGTTGCTCAGGCTGGTCTCAAACTCCTGGGCTCAAGCAATCTGCCTGCCTCAGCCTCCCAAAAGGCTGGGATTACAGACGTGAGCCACTGCGCCCGGCCTATAATATTTTACTTATTAAAGAAAAAAAAAATCTGAAGCAAATAAGGTAAAATTTCAAGCTTTGCCAAAACTGGATAGTGACTGTACTGATGTTTATCGTATTATTCTCTATAATCATCTGTATGCTTGAATTATTTATAATTAAAAAGCAACAATAAAACATCAGAATGATTTTACTGGTTTGCAAGTGAGACTTTTTCAACATTCTGGTGGCCATCTGTAGGACTATATGGCCATTTGAATTGTCCCAAAATTATATTTCTGCTTCCAAGCAAAAGGAAACACATTGTTACTTTCATTGTTGGAAGAGTTGAATTTGCCTGTTTCCCATGTGAGGTCACCTCATGTTAAAGAAAAGTCTCTCAGTTGACCTCTGTCTGAAATGAGGGTTTCTGACATGATTTCCTAAGTCCATCTCCCCAATCAACAGTAGGGAAATATGCAAGATACTGGCTACTGTTGAAGAGTAATGGAGTTCTCAGCTTCCTTATTTGGTCTTTGTAATCAAGACTTGTTTATTGAAGCATATATTTCTCCTTCAGAACCCATGAAAAATATATGGTGATTGCATAGCCTTTCAAATTTCAGTTCTGAACTCAATGAACACCCACATAGTCTTTCTTGTGATTACAGATGATTTCTCTAGCAAGTTAAAATTGAGCTCTTTAACTCTCATTCTGACTTCTTATGCAAGCTAACAACTACTCTGAAATTGTGTAAGCTACCATTCAGAGATTGCTTTAACCATTTGTTTTGCTTTCAACATTGGCGATGTGCAAAAAAGAAAAATTTTCCCTGAAGATTACAACTACCACCCCTTCAGAGAAAAAAAAAAAAAAAAAAACAGCTGCTAAAGATGTTAAATGAATTAAATGACAAGCTATCAAACGTACTTATCAGATTTTCAAAAAAAATGTCATTATGATAAGGAAATAGAATTACTAAAATTAAGTGGTTATATAGTAACAAACAAACATAATTTCTCATTTTCTATTTTGGATTTGCTGTTAACAAACCCAAACATGCTATTTCTCTTTACTAAAAAAAGATTTCTGAAGTGAACGTAAACATGAGCTTTGAAGCCAGACAAACCACGGTTCATGTCACAACTTTGTGATTTTCTTTGTATTTTTTATTGATATGTCATAGCTTTACATATTTTGAGGGTACATGTGATATTTTGACACATATATATAATGTGTAATGATCAAATCAGGGAAACTGGAATATATATCACCTCAAATATTTATCTTTGTGTTTGGAACATTACAATTCTTCTCTTCTAGCTATTTTGAAATATATAATAAATTATTAACTATTATTTTGCTACTGCAAATTATTAACTGGTAACTTCGTGAAGTCACTTAACTTCTCCAAATTCCAGTTTCCTACATTGTAAACTAGGAATAACACAAGTATCTATGTTATGAGAATCTGGGGAGGATTAACTGAGATAATGAACAAAAGTGAGTAGAAAAATGCTTGTCACATATTGAAGATGAATTAATAATTATTAGTATTATTAATAGTTGCAATAAATGTTAGATATTATTACCATCAGCTGACACACAATTGATATATAGGCAACCTTGTTGCTATTTTCAATAGATCATCAACCAAGCATTCCTGATTTCTATATCTAAAATGTAAAATTAAAAAATTATAAAAGCGAAGCCCACATATACAAAATATTAGAGAACATTCTTTCCCAAAATTAGATTGAGCATAAGTATCTTCAAAATACTTGAGCTACAGTACACTGAATACCTTCTCACTCTCCAAGACAAGGCTGGGAATTTCTTCTTCTGGGTATCCATAGTTAATACATTTATATTTCTAATACAGATATAACTATACTGTATTGTTACTTACTGGTTTTTCATCTGCTACGTATCTACTTCTTCCATTCCACTCTGAGCTTCATGAGACCGTCTCTTTCATGTCTGTACACCCTCTATCAAATACAGTACCTATCAAACTCTGGGTGTTCAATGAATATTTAATGAATGAGTAGGAATGAAAAAGAGAAAAGAAAACAAGTGCTTACTGATTACATGCTGTATGCCAGACACAGAGCTAAGCGCTTTACATATATCACCTGATCCAGTCCTCAGAACACTATGAAGAAGGGACTATTATTAACTGCATATTAAAGATGGAGAAACTGTTACTTAGAGATAAATCATCCTTCAAAAGTATAGAAGTAGTAAGTGATGGTATCAGCTTTCAAGTTCACTTTCTTTTAATTCTAAAACCTTTTTTCTCTCTACTAATCTGTGTCACCCAATGTGCAGAAGGAAGTATATTTGGGGAAAGGGCAGGCAAATAGGTACTTTTAGGATAAAGACCCTCAAGCATGGGACTCTAGAAGTGAAGCATATCTGTTTCTGACTCATCCAGCCTCTTTTCTGATATCAGATTTCTAGCCCGCTATCTTTTTGCTGCTTCCCCTGAGGGTCAGACTTAGTGACTCTGTACTCCATTTGTGGAGACCTGTGCAGCCTCTCTACTCTGCCTGGGCTGACCTCCCCAGATTTCAACTCTTGGTAGCTTAAACCTGAGGCTTCAGGTAAGCCTCTGGGTTCTAGGCTCTCTTCCCACCTTTCGTGGCCACTGCCGCCCATGCCCTATTAAGACATGTGATTCAGGGAATGGCCTATACTTTAGGTTTTTATATGACATGCAAGACCAATAAGGAGACTAATTGTCTAGGGCTCTGACAAGGCCAAGAGCAATAAACCCATTATTATTCCTGCACCACCATACCACTTCTCAAAGGCAGTGGCCACTTTTTTTTTTTTTTTTTTTTTGCACGAACCTCATTGAAATAGACAGGAAAGTCAGTAATACATGGTGATGATTTCTGTATTAGCTTCATAGATATTCATGTATTTATTCATTCAATCAGTCATTTATTCAACATATATTTACTATGCAACTACTACCTGAAGGATATTCTGCTAGACAACGGGAATACAAAAATGAGCAAGAGAGATGGTTCCTCCTGCCTCATGAAACTTACGTTCTCTAACACACTTTTGAGCTCTAACAGACTAAATGTATCTTAGAGATTATTTAAATGCACTCTTCCCAGTTTTAGGGAGAAAACCGAGACCCAGAAGTCAAACAGCTAGTAAATGGTAATTTCCCTCCCATCTCTCAATCCAAAGCTCTTTCCAATACACCAGATGGCGCCCATCTGAAGAGCAACATGTGAGCTGACATTTATTAGGCACCATGAAAGCAGAGACATTTCAAAAGGCCTGGCATTTGGGGAATGGAGACTTTTAGACCTCAATTCCATTGTCAGCAGCTCCACCACAAGCAATGGAAACTAATTTGACAGTGTAGTAAAATTTCTTTGGAAAGACAGCAAGTGCCATATAAATTTTTTAGAATGGGATTGTCATTGGTATGACCATGTCCAGTAAAATGTTCAGCAGGCAGCTGATCCTTATGAGGAACTTCAGTCACCTTCCTTTCCCTCCTTGAAGGTTTTCATTGCATGATATGTTATTAGTAGAACTGTGTAGGCTGTCCTGAGAAAGGGAAACTGTTTTTAAAAATAAAGCTGAGTAGGAAAACCGGAAAGACTCTGGCATCCACTGCTAAGACTAAAAAGGAAAACCAAGTGCCACGCTTCCAAGTTGGGATCCCACTTGGAATTCACTGCTTTTTATCTGCCTTCCTCCAGCAGCTCTGTCCTTTCAGGAAGGATTCACCCATCTCAGCAATGCAGCTTCAAGCTTTGCTCCGATTCTTTTTTTTTTTTTTTTTTTTTTTTTGAGACGGAGTCTCGCTCTGTCGCCCAGGCTGGAGTGCAGTGGCGGGATCTCGGCTCACTGCAAGCTCCGCCTCCCGGGTTCACGCCATTCTCCTGCCTCAGCCTCCCAAGTAGCTGGGACTACAGGCGCCCGCCATTACGCCTGGCTAATTTTTTGCTTTGCTCCGATTCTTAACAAACTTATTTTAAACCTGCTGCAGGCCAGGTGCGGTGGCTCACACCTGTAATCCCAGCACTTTGGGAGCCCGAGGCAGGTGGATCACGAGGTCAGGGGTTCGAGACCGGCCTGACCAACATGGTGAAACCCCGTCTCTACTAAAAATACAAATATTAGCTAGGCGTGGTGGCGGGCACCTGTAATCCCAGCTACTCAGGAGGCTGAGGCAGGGGAATTGCTTGAACCTGGGAGGCGGAAGTTTCAGTGAGCCGAGATCGTGCCACTGCACTCCAGCCTGGGCGACAGAGCGAGCCTCTGTCTCAAAAAAAATAAAAATAAAAAAATAAACCTGCTGCCAGGTGAGTGGTACGGCTTCCTCTGCAAACTGAGAAAGGAAAGAGAAACTATATACTTGGAGGTGAGTGGGGAGGTAGGGCACTGGGAGCTGATTCATAAACTGAAAGCTGTCAGTTATCATGAATGTAGGGCTTACATTGCCAGCTGCCAAAACGGGTCAATTTAGAAGAGAGGTAGAAAACCATATTAACTAACAACCACTCCAAGGTTAATGGTGTTGTGCAATCCATTGGAAGGATATTATTTTTAAAAACTACAGAAAGAATACTGTTCAATGTTGTTTCATTCAGTGAACATGCAGAGAGTATACACAAGAACCAGGTACTATTGCTTGTACAAATATGATTAAGAATGGCCCGACTCAAGGAGTTCACAGTCTAGTGTGGTAATACTACACGAGTGTACTTTAAAAGCATTCATGAGGCTTTAAAAAATATAGTTACCCAAGAATTTGAATCATAAAGATTATGGTCAGGACATGAAAATCCCTATTTTAGTAAGTTCCACAGATAATTCCAAGGTGAATTCATGAATATTCCCACCCTGACTCTCAGTGGTTCTGTGGCCTTGGGCATGTTATTTAACCTTTTGGAGCCTTAATTTCCATATTTATAAAGTGAGTATGGTGATAAAAATAAAAGATACTATTTTTTAGGTGTCAATAATTGTATTGAGTGCTTTAGTTTTTTTTGTTTTTAATTTTTTCCATAAAATAACCCTATCAGGTAACTGCTATTATTAATAACTAATATAAACTAATATAAAGCATTTGTATTAGTTTCCTGCTGCCATGTAACCAGTCACCACAGATTTGGTAGTTTAACACCCATTTATTGTTTCATAGCTCTGTAGGTCAAAAGTCCAGGCAGGCTCAACAAGGTTCTATGCTCAGGGTCTCACTAGGCCAAAATCAAGGTATTGACCAGGCTAGCTCTTACCTGGAGGCTCTGATAAAGAACCCATTTTTAAGTTCATCCAGGCTATTGGCAGAATTCAGTTTCTTGTAGCTGTAGGACTGAGCTATAGGACTGAGGTCCCCATTCCTTGCTGACTATGTGCTGGGGGCTCAGCCTATTTTTTCTAAAGTGACTCCCTCCATCTTCAAACCAGCAACAGCACATTGAATCTTTCTCTTGCTTTGAATGTCTCTGACGTCCTCTTATATCATCGGACAGAGACATTTCTGCTTTGAAGGACCTACGTGATTAGATTAAGACCACCTGGATAGTCTCCCTATTTTAAGGTAAACTTTGCCCTGTAACATAACGTGATCACTCATCATATTCACAGATTTCAGGGATCAGAGGGAAATACCATTTGGGGGCCATTTGGAAAGTTTTGCCTAACACAGAGTTATGTCCAACAAAGTAAGTGAGAGGAGTCTCTGAATTTCGGTTGGACTCCCACTTTGCCACTTATTCTCTGTGTGCTTCTAGGCAAGTGATTTAACCTCTCAGATCTCTCTATCATCAAAATTAAAATAAGGGACATTATTACCTAGTTTAGAGAATTTATGTCTGATACATAGTAGGTACACAGAAACTAATAGGTCTGACACAAGAGATGTTATTTGTAGTAATGACAACATTTGCCTATTGAAGATTGCGATGTGGATTAAATGAGATAATGTACCTAATGGGCCTAGCACAGGGCCTGGTTCATAGATGCCTGATATATATTAGCTCCTTTTCCTCTGGAGTGATTACGATTTAAATGATTGTGTAGCAGCTCTGTCAAGCATCACATTATCCATGGTGGGTGGAGAGGTAGATAAGAATTATTATTACTTGAATTTTACAGATAACTTAAGGTTCAAGTAACTTACTCAGTGTCCCTGGTTAAGTGAGAACAGAGACAAAGCTTGAATCTAAATCTGTCTCTGTCTCTAGTCCCATGTTTTCCATTCAAAACTTTAAAAAAGAAAAAAAAACAAGCTTCCTGCATATGGTTGAATCACATCTGTTGCATCTACCACAGTAGGCACAAAGGAATCGCTTGCATTTTAATCTCCTTAACATTAAACTTGAAGAATAATGTAGACGCATCACAATGTGAGCATCCCACCTTGCTGCAGTCTGCATAGCTCAGAATTTATGGTCCACTCCATTAGGAGCATACACAGAGCCTGTCAGCAATATCGGTTGAAATTGAAAGCAGCAGTCTCTTTATCTCCTGACCTACGTTATTCCTAAAATGATTAACTCATACTTGGGGGTGGTACCCTGATATCTAGTTTAACATCTTGAGTTCAAAGGTATTTGGCTCTGGATGCTGAGTGATCACCCAGAGTTTTACAGAAAGAAGACGAGAGCAGAATTGGACTGGGTACCCAAAGGCTTTTACGGAGTTCATTAATCCTCATTTGGCCTAGGGAGATAGTTTGTTCATCATTCATTCACTACCTGCATACCAATTTATTCCTTGGTGCAGGATCTGTTTATTTAACATGTAACTTTCAACTTCCTCCTTTGTCAGAAGC
The DNA here is from genome assembly GCF_000001405.40 of Homo sapiens. Taxonomy (NCBI): domain Eukaryota; kingdom Metazoa; phylum Chordata; class Mammalia; order Primates; family Hominidae; genus Homo; species Homo sapiens. Next base: position 57,236,273 of record NC_000001.11, read on the forward strand.
AGGGGATTCAAATGTGACTAACCCACAAACTTGGGCAAGACCACAAGCTCACAGTTGAGTAGGGGAAGAAACATGTAAAGATGAAGATCACTTCGGCCGGACCTGAAAAGCGCTACAGGAGAGTTACAGGAGCACAGAAAAGAAGGGGCCAACTTGTAGCAGACATTTAACTGGGGCCTTGAAGGACAAGCACAAAGAACGTGAAAAGGAGGGAGGGGGTTACATTCTAGGCAATGGGCTAGAAGAACGAACTTCAAGGCATGACTGAAAAATGGTGAATTCAGTATACCAGTAACATTAATGGGACATGGGACAGGGATGACACAGGAGAAACAAATCAACAATGCCTTTTTACGTCATGCTACAGAGCTTATCTTTTCTTCTCATGGGCAGAGGAAGCCAACAACTGATTTTCATGTAGAATGAGAAATCTTGATATATGAGAGTAGAACACATCACTCTGAAACATCACTCTGATGCCATGGTAGAGCAAGTCAAACTGAAGGGGCAGAGAGCTGGTGGGAGACTGAGGTCACTGGCCCTGCCAGGCCCTTAGGTCTTACGAGAGAATGCGGAGGAGGCAGAGTCACAGGGCTGCCCCATAGGACTCCATCGTGAGGGAAATATTCTGTGCTGATATGGTAGCCATTGGCCACATGTAAATTTTAAGCAGTTAAAATGTGGCAAGCACAACTGAATAACTGTATTTTTAATTTAAATTTACATCTAAATAGTAGTAGTGCTACTACTGCTGTAGCTGCTGTACTGGAGAGAACAGAGCTAAAATTTCCCCCAGAGGTTTCTGTCCCCATTTTCTCCTCCCAAATGCTCCGGTCTGCCACTCTTTGAAGACGAGAGAGATTGTTTCATTTAGGAGTAATTCTGACATGATTTGAAATGTTTGAGGGCAGGACTGTGACTTTTCTATCTGAATAAGCCCAATGTGCCCAGCATGGGACCTAACATGAGGTACATTTGTTGGGATGAAGCAGGCACTGTCCAGATAAAAGACAACCTGTCCCCATGGGGAGACAATTCATCTTTTCTTAGGGAAGCTTTACAATTAAACACAAACCACTTCCTAGACTTTTTTAATAGCCTGGAGGTAAGCCAGATAGGAAAATAAATTATCCCTGCTACCTTTATCATTCATCCAAAAGAATTTGTTTACTTCTTTTCAGTATCAGAGCTCTGAAATAGATTTCCTTTCTCTCTCAGAATGTCACTCCCATTTTCTACTGCCAACTAGCTAAGCAAAGGCATTCATTATATATTTTTCTAATATCCTGGACTACAAGAAATACTCTAAGCGAAAATACAATAACCTAACTAACTACTGTTTAATATCACTTCATGGTTTATGAAACATTTGCTCATGCACTGATGGGTTTGAGCCCATCAATAGCCTTGTAAGTTTCAAAACATCATTCCCACTTTCTAGAAGAGAAAGTAAAGGCTCAGAGAGATTACTCAAATTGTTCAAAAATACAAAGATTCTGAGAGGTTTGCACTTGAAAACCACATTTATTTAAAAAGCCACCTATTCTGTGTAAGGAAAATGCTTTGGGGCAAAGGGATGATGAATTACACATAGATCTTGAAGAGTGCATTGGATATGGACATAAAATTAATGGAGAGGAAGGTAGTTCAGGCAAAGAACGAGAAAAGACAAATTGGTGGTGAATGGTAGGGGCAAGAAGATGGGGAACCAAGCAGCAGGGGACACAAGACAAGTCCAGGCCTGACAGGGTGAGTGGTGCTGAATACTGGGTGGAGGTTAGCCTTGGCTCTGTGGTCTTTAGGAACCAAAAGGGGTTTTAGAACAAGGAGATGTGTTCCTAGACCACGAAACCAAGGCTGTGGCTTCGAGCAGTGGTTCTGAGTGTGGTCCTTGGGCCAGCAGTATCAGCATCCCCTGGAAGGTGTTAGGAATGAGAATTCTGTGCCCTGCCTGAGACCTCCTGAATGAGAAACTCTGGGATGGAGCCAGAACTCTTTTGTGGCAAGCCCTCTAGTTATGATACCCTGAGAATCACCAGCTTAGAGGAATGTAGCAAGAGGCTTACAGCCATGCACCTGTGCCACAGCAACCTAGGAGAAAGAGCCAGAGGATACAGGGAACAGAAAGAACTTATGAGGTCATCCATACAAAGACAATAGCAAACTCTATATTTAGATGCTGCTATCTGTCCGTCTGATGAAGATTCGCTCTCTTGCTCACTTCTATTGGAGAGTTTTTAGGGATGAAGTCAGTAAGGTCTTGTGATGAAGCACGAGCTTGATGAATGAGGTCACCTATGTTCTTTCCTGGGTATCAATCCTCTTGGTATCACAGCCTCCTCCAGAAGTCCTTCCTGCATCCTAAGAGGAGCTTCAGATTAAGCCCTAGTTAATCCCTTCCTCCAGGGCATCTGCACTTCACTGTCAGTTAAAGCTCTAGGAAGAAATATAAGTGAACAACAATCCATGTACAATGACTGGAAATAGTTCTATAGTACTGGGCAGAAATAAGGGGAGAGAAGAAAAAATAATACACACATACACACACTGGCAGGCGTGTGCACATGCGCACACACACACACACACATACACACACACACACACACACACACACACACACACCCCTAACTTGAAATGGTTTTCTTAGCTATAAAGGTGAGTCCCGAATATAATTTTTTATGGCCCAATAAGATTTTTTTTCTGTAAATCTATTTACCAATCATAGAAGAAAATACTTCTTTTGACTTCATGTCCCCAGTTTTGGTTTGGAAACTCTGTCTTTTACAGAAGTCCAGGACACACTCTTGCTGTTGGTCAAGCCCATTAAGCTCATTGCCCTTGTGACCCTTGAGCACAGCCAGTCTTTTGGCCCACATAGACTTCCACCCAGATCTTTACCTATCAGGCCCCTTGTTGTCATTCAAATGTCCACTCAGAAGTCATCTCTCCAGAAATGCCTGTCCTGTCTCGTCCATCTAAAAGAATCCACCATTTGCCACAGTCATCTTTTATCCCATCACTGTATTATTGTCTTCCCAGCACTTACTGCTGTACACAGTAATCATGTCATTAATTTGTTTTACTGGTTAGTGCTCATCTTCCCCACTAGAATGTAAGCTTCATGTGGACAAAGAAGATGCATCTCTTGTTCACTGCAGTATCTCCTGTGCCTAGAATGGGGCCTGGCAAATGGCATATGACCATGGATATATAAATAAACAATATCTAGCTGATTTAGGCAATGGGGAGTGTGGTCCCACGTGCCTATCTTCCAGACCTATAGCCGGCCTTTCACATTCCACACTGTTTCAGCAAGAGGCCTCTCCATCTGTCCTCAAAACAATAAGACCTTTCCACTTCCAGAGTTTCACCTGTTCTGTTTTCCCTGCCTAGAGAACTGTCTTCTCTTTATTTTTCTTTTTATTTACCCAAAAGATTATTTCATCCTGAAAGAACCCAGGTCAATTAATTAGGTTCCTCTTTAAAAAAAAATCAAAACATTGCACTTCCCAGATAAATTCTCTCTTTTCTGACTCTCAAAGACTTTTACTATCTGTCAGGTCATTTGTCAAATAACTAATTAATTTATCTGCCCGTCCAGGCAAGAAACTTTTAAAGTGCCTCTGATGCGAACCAGTCCCTTCCCTGGGAATTCATAGATGAAAAAGGAAACAGCCTTTATTCTCCAGAATCTGACTTGTCTTTTGACTCTGATTATTTGAATTAAACTGTGATTCATTTTAAAATTTTATCTGTCTAGGGCACAATGCAATCCTCCAACCACACTAAGCTTAGACGTAATGTCTTTATGCATACTGATGACACATATTTATTAACTGGTGATATTAAATCATTAAGGAACAATATATTACTATTTGCTGAGCATTTCCTAAATCCTCCAGTACCAAAATAAGACCTGGGGCAAGAGAAAAGGAAGAGGACAAAATAAACATAAGGAAAAGGCTCTTCCCTAAGGAAATGAGAATCTGATTAGGGCAACACTTAAAACACACATTCAAATTTCAGAAAACAAATAATAATACACTTAAAAAAGACAAACTGGAATGAATAAAACAAACACATTAAATAATGGCTTTCTTGCACACCTCCACTGATCATCTACAGTGGTCATACACTGTGCTAGGTATTTGGGAAAAACAGCTGAAATATTAAGAAATTTCCATACATCATCATCCATATACGTCTAGACATACCAATACTAAAATGCCAGCATTATTATCCCTACACTACACATGAGGATAACCAAGGCTCAGAAAATATTAACTTGACCAAAGTCACAAATAATTAGAGACATGCAAACTCAAACTCAGGTCTTCTGATTGTATGCCCAATATTGCTTACATTGTATAACACTGCCTCTATTTCTATGGTTTAATGAATAAGAGACAAGAATGATGAACATGGGCTAGAATGAGCTGAGGAGGCTGGGCTTGAGAAATGAAGGATGAATATGATGCTACTACGGAAATTAAAATTTTAGTCATTAAACTGAGCTTACTATTGCAGATTCAACTGATGTGATTAAAGCATAAGAAACACCCTTACTATCAATGCTTGGTTAATTATATTAACCTTCCCTCTGGGATTTACCCTTGTTCTGGGAAGAGCCCTATTTAAGATAAATGCAGACCTCTCCCCTTCTTGCATCTCCTGGTGGGATTTTTCTAGCTATGCATATCTGCTCATATGAACTAACAGACAATAGTTACATTTGCATGTATCTGCACTATACACGCATCCACCAGCAGAGTGGATATGCTAAGAATGAAAACTAGGGATGAGATGCAGAAATCTGGCAGAGGTTGTCTTATTATTAATCATAGTATCTCCAGTACTTAGTAAGGTATTTGGCACTGATTAGATGCTCAATAAATAAATATGTATTAAATTATTGAACTTAGCTTTTTTCTCTTGTCACCCATCAGTCAACACAGTTCTAATCTCTGCTGCATAACAGCCAAAAGGGTGAATATACAAATATACAGTGTAATTGAGGGAAGGAGAAGAACAGAGATAAAACTGAGAAACACACTGCTATATGCTGGTATGACCTTTTTCAGTTTGTCCCTTCCTTATCAGTGTCTTTCTAATTGAGACATTATGACCTTAGTATAAAACACCCAGGTTTCATTCTATCAAATCTAAAGCCTACCAACCAGGGCACAAAATAGACCATCAGCCTCATTAGCAAATAGGGCCTAGAATTGATCACGTTGCTATAGACTCAATATCTGTTGGGCTTAGAGTGGAGTCTGGACATCGAAATAATAATTGAGTTGGCACTCTTCAGTGCATTTGGTCAGCATATATCACTGTACCACTGCCACCAAGGTTTGCAGTTGTACATTGCTCCTCATCTGGAATGGGAATGCCACCCACTGATATGGAGTCTAGCCCTTCTGAGTCTAGCCTTTGCCAGATCTTGTCCTTGGAATAAGGACCTCACTTCCCTTACTCTGAGCTCTTGGCTGAGATCTTCCATGGAAGGGAAGCTTTGGGGTTAATTCCTCTAACCTGCTGGGCTTCAAACACTTATCGTTCATATGTCTACTGCTAGGCCCCATCCACATATCAACACCCTTGCATTCTAATGCCAGCTAAGCTAAAGGAAGGCCCAGGTTTCCAACAGCTCTTATGAATACTACTTGTCAGTGACTTCAGTCACAGTCAAGTCATTTCCCCCATTCCTATATTTCTCAATCTTATATTAAAGACTTAGAACATCTCATAGAAGAGTCTGTTTGAGTGATGACAACCATATGGTTTTAGACTAGAAACTAGACTAGACTTTTTCTATATATTATATATGAAAAGGGATCACAAGTAAATGGTTATAGGTTTATGGCTGAAATTGTTAAAGGTTGGAGAACACAGCATATTTTACAAGCCAACTCCAAGGTCCTAGAATAATCTTCAACTTACCCTGAACTTTTTCTAAGAGTTGAAAACATCTTTATAGTTTTTTTCCCTTTGGAGATTCAGAGCATCTTAGTGACAAAAGCATTTTCAGGTGCTTTTCTTCTGCCTTTCATCTTTTAACTCTGGGCTAAGGGGTCATAAAGGTCTTTCCTTGGGCAAAGAGAAAAAGAGACAAAGCAACTTTTCCAGAGGGGAAGGGTCACGGGGGAAGTAGGTAAATACACATGGGGTGCCTGCATTTCTCAAGGAGGTGATCATAACACGTGGTCGATTAGCACATATGGGTCTTTCTGATTTCCTTATTTTTACTTCTCAAGGTAAAAGCAGAAATACGAACAGGAAAAAAATAAATGAACAGATCTGCAACAATACCAGCAACATACACACAACTCCTTGGTCTGCATATAATCCTTTGATAATAACTTTACAATGTATAGATTTTTCTCTACCTAACAGAGTTTCCTCAACTCTTGGAACATTTTTTGAAGTCATTTCTGATTAAGAATCCTAAATATTTACTAACAAATGCTAAATATCATAATCTACTGACCATTTTTTAAGCAATGTTTAAACCTGCTTTTCATTATAAAAGAGCCAAAACCCTTTCTCGCTAAGCATTTCAAAACATATTTAAAGAGAACTGTTTGTAGACAGTCTCCATTCGTCATTCCCCAGAGCCACTATTCTAAATGCAATAAACCGACTGGAAAAATTTCAAGGGCAATTTTAGATCAGTATCCTTTGATCATTGTTATTGTGGCAGCACAATTTGCATACTTAGTAGATACTCAATAAATACTTGTTGAATTGACCTGAAATGGGTTGTTACCAGCACTGGAGGGTCCTAAAGCGGATACTCTGAGGTTCCCCTGACTGCCTAACTCCAGTTTATGTGTGAGCCACAAAGCCTGTTAACAGCACTAATTATCTACCCAGCTAAATGGAAAAGATATGATTGATCAGCCATGATGGATCAATACTTACATGTTTATTAGGACTATTTTTATTTTAATCATTCTTAAGGGCTGCCTCACTTGGTGTAATTATGAGTGGTCCCTGAAATCACTGTGAACGAAAAAAAGCAGCTGAGAGATGTACTTGAGAAAAAATCCATAGAAGATTAGTGGTTAATGGTGCATCTCTCCCACAGACATGCACAGACCTATGGGACTGTGGCTTTTCCCAATACTTTTTGCCCCTCAACTCTCTGTTTCATTTATCTTCTCCTGACTAAGCTAACCATATAGCTTCCAATGAGATGCATGTGTGTGTGTATGCACGTGTGTGTGCTAGGAATGAGGAGGGGAGAGTCAATTATGCTCAAACCCACAGCCCGGACTCCCTACCCTCTTGTTCACTCTCTCTGTTCTTGCATCCAACCCACTTCTGACTTCCAGGACTCCCATTCTATACATCATGTTTGCCTGCTAGGCCAGGAAGGTTTCAATGCACTGGAAGTTTATTCCTTAATCATTCCTTTCCTCACTTGGGTCTCCAGAGAAATTCATTGGAGGCAGATGAATCCCGGCACTGCCTACACCATGAGACATAAGCAGCGCTGGTGGTCGCTTCCCCTGCACCAATGGCATAGACCAACCCCAACAACCACACAGGAGCCCTAGTTATCATGGAGGCAAATTAAAAGGACATCAGCCTCAAGGGTGTACCTTTTGTAAACATTTGGAACCAATTCATCCGTATCTCTTGCTATTCCTCCCAGGGACCTTCCACTAGATCATTCTTTTAAAAATTATTCTTGAACATAATCCACTTTCACATTCCTCCTTTCCTTTATCTGTGTTATTTCCTCTATCCAGAATGTTCCACTTGTTGTTTCTGTAACCTGGGAAAACTTTTTATTTCCCAAAACCTATATATTCTCTTTTTGTGTATTCTCTCTTAACTACTCTCTGGCATATTTGGCTCTCTTATTTTTTATTCCAATTGCATTTTCTGTCCCATGCCCTTTTTAAAGCCTTACACTATCTCCATTGTCTTTTACCATGTTCGATTCTCCGAATAAACAGTGAGCTTGCAAAAGGCAAGGCACCATACTTTTCTGTCTTTGTACTCCAAACACCCAATACAGTGTTAGGCACATTTAATGGCCACAGTAAATATCAGAAATATTTACTGAAAGAAAGAATAAATGAACAAAGGAACAAATGGGTTGATAAAGGAAAGATGGATAGATGAGAAGATAAATGATTGAGTAATGAGTCTTTATTCCATGACTTAGAGTATCACCAAATAAACTCTATTGGAGAACCACACATCACCAAAGGAACAGACAAGAACAAGGACTGATAATCTCCAGCTGAAGATTAGAGGTGGAAAACTCTGTCTTGAGACATGCAGGATAGCATTTGTTGTACTATTACTCTTGACCAATGTAAACAAACAATATTAGTTACTCTGCAAATTAGGGAAACAGGGACTTCATCAAATCCTCCCTTAACTTTCTATAAGTGGCTTCAAATAAACACCATAAAAAGTGGTCTGAAACACTCTGAGTCTCCATTTCTTCTTTTGTAAAATGAGGTAATAATAAATAACTCATAAAATTATCTGGAGGAAAAAATGCTATAATTTATGTAGACTCATAAAGCAAGGGGCTTAACATATAGTAGTCAATAAACTAACGTAGCGTTCTGATATGGTTTAACTCTGTGTCCTTACCCAAATCTCATGTCGAATTGTAATCCCCATGTGTCAGGGGACGGTACTGGTAGGAGGTGATAACCTGAAAATGTGGAAGTGACTTTGGAACTGGGTAAGGGGTAGAGGTTGGAACAGTTTGAGGGACTCAGAAGAAGACAGGGAAATGTGGGAAAGTTTGGAACTTCCCAGAGACTTGTTGAATGGTTTTGAACAAAATACTGATAGGGATATGGAAATGAAGTCCAGGCTGAGGTGGTCTCAGGTGGAGATGAAGAACTTATTGGGAACTGGAGTAAAGGTCCCTTTTGCTATACTTTGGCACAGATTGGTGGCATTTTGCCCCTGCCCTAGAAATCTGTGGAGTTTCGAACTTGAGTGAGATGATTTAGGGTACCTGCTGGGAGAAATTTCTATTTTTTTAATTATACTTTAAGTTCTAGGGTACATGTGCACATTGTGCAGGTCTGTTACATAGGTATACATGTGCATTGTTGGCTTGCTGCACCCATCAACTCGTCACTTACATTAGCTATTTCTCCTAATGCTATCCCTCCCCCAGGCCCCCATCCCCTGAAAGGCCCCAGTATATGATGTTCCCCTTCCTGTGTCCATGTGTTCTCATTGTTCAATTCCCACCTATGAGTGAGAACTTGTGGTGTTTGGTTTTCTGCCCTTGTGATAGTTTGCTGAGAATGATGGTTTCCAGCTTCATCCATGTCCCTGCAAAAGACATGAACTCATCCTTTTTTATGATTGCATAGTATTCCATGGTGTATATGTGCCACATTTTCTTAATCCAGTCTATCATTGTTGGACATTTGGGTTGGTTCCAAGTCTTTACTATTGCGAATAGTGCCGCAATAAACATACTTGTGCATGTGTCTTTATAGTAGCATGATTTATAATCCTTTGGGTATATACCCAGTAATGGGATCGCTGGGTCAAATATTATTTTCTAGTTCTAGATCCTTGAGGAATCACAACACTGTCTTCCACAATGGTTGAACTAATTTACACTCTCTGGTGGGAGAAATTTCTAAACAGCAAAGCATTCAAGAGGTGACCCAGATGTTTCTAAAAGTGTACATGCATATGCATGAAGAAAGAGATGGTCTGAAATAGGAACTTATATTTAAAAGGGAAGAAGAGCATAAAAATTTGGTAAATTTGCAGCCTGACTAGGTGGTAGAAAATAAAACTCATTTTCTGGGGAGAAATTCAAGTGAGCTGCAGAAATTTGCATAAGTAATGAGGAGCCAAGTATTAACAGCCATGATAATGGGGAAAATGTCTCCAGGGTATTTCAGAGATCTTCGCAGCAGCCTCTCCCATCACAGGCCTAGAGGCCTGAGGGAGAAAAATGGTTTCATGGGCAAGAACCTACCACCCGCTGCCCCCTGCTCTGTGCAGCCTTGGGACATGGCACCCTATGTCCCAGCTGCTCCAGCTCCACCCATGGCTAAAAGGGATGAAGGTACATCTTGGGCTATTGCTTCAGAGGGTGCAAGCCCCAAGCCTTGGCACCTTCCATGTGGTGTTGAGCCTGCAGGTGCACAGAAGGCAACAGTTTGAGAGCCTCCACATAGATTTCAGAGGATGTATAGAAATGCCTGGATGTCCAGGTAGAAGTCTGCTACAGGGACGGAGATCTCATGAAGAACCTAGTGCAGAGGGAAAAAGTGGGGTTGGAGCCCCCCTACCCCACAGAGTCCTCAATGAGACAATGCCTAGTGGAGCTGTGAGAGGAGGGACACTGTCCTCCAGACCCCATAAAGGTAAATCCACTGACAGCTTGCATGTGTACCTGGAAAAGCCACAGGCACTGAATGCCAGCCCATAAGAGCAACCTCGGGGGCTATATCCTGCAGCGCTCCAGGGGCAGAGCTGCCCAAGGCCATAGGAGCCCACTCCTTGAATCAGTGTGCCCTAGGTGTGAGACATGGAGTCAAAGGAGATTATTTTGAACCTTTAAGATTTAATGACTGTCATACTGGGTTTTGGACTTGTATGGGGCCTGTAGCCCTTTGGTTCTGGCCAATTTCTTCCTTTTAGAATGGGAACATTTACCCACTGCCTGTACCCCCATTGTATCTTGGAAATAACTAACTTGTTTTGATTTTACAGGCTCACAGGCAGAAGGACTTGTCTTTTCTCAGATGAGACTTTGGACTTGGAATTTTGGGTGAATGTTGGAGTTAAGAAAGTTTGGGAGACTGCTGGGAAGGCATGATTAGTTTTGAAATGTGAGAAGGACATGCGATTTGGGAGGAGCTAGGGGCAAAATTATATAGTCTGGCTCTGTGTCTCCACTCAAATCTCATGTCAAATTGTAATCGTCACACGTCAGGAGAGGGGCCTGGTGGGAGCTGATCAGATCATGGGGGCAGATTTCACCCTTGCTGTTCTCATGATAGCGAGTTCTTCACAAGATTTGACCATTTGAAAGTGTGTGATATGTCCTCCTTCACTTTCTCTCTCCCTCCTGCTCTGCCATGGTAAGATGTGCTTGTTTCCCTTCTCCTTCTGCCATGACTGTAAGTTTCCTGAGTCCTCCCAGTGATGCTTCCTGTTAAGTCTGTGGACCTGTGAGTCAGTTAAACCTGTTTTCTTCATAAATCACCCACTCTCATTTAGTTCTTTATAGCAGCGTGAGAACAGACTAATATAAGCTCCTATATTTTGTATTTTCATGAATTGTGAACTTCACTTAACTGATGTAGTAGGTTGCTATGGAAGAGACTGTAGGATGTTTCTAAAACCCCTAAGGGCACAGCTCTTCCTCTGTGGTACACAACTAGCCTATATTTTCTAGGCTTCCTTGTTGTTAGGAAAGCCTTGTGACTGGTTCTAGCCCACATAATATAAGTAGAAGTGATGAGTGTAACTTTTAGGCTTGGCCCATAAAGACCACTTATATGGATGCTCTTTTATGCCCATTCTCCCTGCTAGTTGGCTGGAATGCAGACCAGCCCCATGAAAACCTTGGAAGCTACTTGTAGAAAATGGCAGAGCCTCCTTGGCCTTTGTTCCTGAATGACTGCCTGGAAAAGAGACACCCTCCAACTGGTTCACCTACTCAGTACTGTCAAATGAGCAATAAATTAACTTCAATTTTGCCTGAATGATTATACAGTCATCACTTGGTATCTAAGGGGGATTAGTTCCAGGACCCTTGTGGATACCAAAACAAGAGGATGCTCAAGTCCCTGACATAAAATGGCATAGTATTTGCATCTAACCTGTGCATATCCTCCTGTACACTTTAAATCATCTCTAGATCACTTATAACAATGAATATGACATAAATTCTATGTAAATAGTGAATCTATTTTATTGTTCTTTAAATCTGTATTATTTTATTGTTGTTTTGTTATTTTTATTGTTTTTTTTAAAAAAATACTTTCAATCCATGGTTGGTTGAACCTGAGAATGCCAAACCTGTAGATGAGGAACCTGTAGATATGGAGGGTCAACTGTACATTTTTATGACAGTGGCCATAATTACTCTAACATAACTGCACACTCCTTTAGGGCTGAATCTATAGCAATAAATCCACCCCATAGTTAGAACAGTGTTTAGCTAATAGTATATATTCATTAAATATATACTATGCTTCTAAACTACTTTTTAAAAACCAAACAAACATATGACTGTATCAGCTAACAAGTGCCGGTGCTGAAAACATGTCCTTGAATTTGAATTCATGGACTTTCTGAAAATTGACTACAAAAACAGTGTTCAAAGTATTACAGTTCCTGGATTTCCTGCCGTGTAATTCTCAGCACATATTGATTTTGAAGCTCAAATCTTTGCAATTCCCTGATAATGCTATTCCTCAGAATAATGAAGCAGGAAGGTCTCCTATGCCCACAATTGTGCTAGTTGTGTAGGAACTGTGATTTTCTTTAACCACAGGTATCTGCATTTGCTCAGGCCCTCATTACTGTATATGGGATGTTATTTAACCTCCAATGAATCTTTTGCTAGCATTTTTCCTCCTCCTCATGAGATCCAGTTGAGTCCCTTGCAGTTGCAGCATTAGTCACTATCATAGGTCTCAGGATAATTAACAGAGTTAAGCCACCTGCTTTTTGCTGCCCCTCAAACAAGACAGGCATATTAAGTTCACGATCCCTAGATGTGGGCAGTGCCAAGTCAGACCGCCTATAAAGGTTTCACACAGTGCTTCAGGCTTGAGTCAATTATTCAATTGTCAAGTGTCTACTGAAGGCTTTCCAAGTGTTTTTTTGCCAGTGAGGAACTTACGTTCTAGCCAAGGTAATAAAACAAATAGTCAAAGTAGCACAGTAACTGAATTTTGATGTGGATCTTGTATGTATAGAGAAAAAAATCCACATTTTGCACTATGGCAATTTATTTACCCCATCCTATTGAGTATCATGCCCAGGCCTTATTCTAGAAGCTGGACATTTATCAGTGAATAAAACCCCCAACCTCATAAAGCGATCAATCATTTTTGTTTGTTTTTTGTTGTTGTTTTGTTTATTTGTTTTGAGACAAGGTCTCACTCCATCACCCAGGCTGGAGTGCAGTGGCATAAACAAGAGTTCACTGCAGCCTCGGCCTTCTAGCCTCAAGCAATCTTCCCACCTTAGTCCCGCAAGTATCTGGAATTCCAGGTGCATGCCACCACCCCCAGCTAATTTTTGTATTTTTGGTAGAGATGGGGTTTCACCATGTTGCCCTGGCTGGTCTCAAACTCCTGAGCTCAAGCCATCCACCCGCCTTGGCCTTCTAAAGTGCTGAGATTACAGGCATGAGCCACCACACCCAGCCTCAACCTTATGGTCCTACTTACACTTTGATGGGAACACGCCATGACTTGTTCTGCCTTTGCAAGTCCTCTCCCTAGAATGCTCTAGTGCTCTTTCCACTCACTGCCTAATCCCACTGATGGAGCTTTGTACATCTGAAAACTATTACTCCATGCAGACTTCTGCCCAGATATTTCCTCTTCTATTATGCTGCTATGATAATCTATTGTTTTCAGATTAAAACATATCCTAGTATGTATTGCTTGCATTAATTTTATTTTTGCATTTTTATTGTTATAAATATACACAGGTTTACCTTCCCTCTTAAAAGGTGGTTTTAGAAGGCAAGCCCTGTGTCTTATTTACCTTTAAATCCCAAAGTCTGAATTCAGGACTGGCACACAAATAATTCAGCAAACTTTTGCTATACTGAACTCAACTGCAGAGGAGGAAATCAAATCCCAAAGAAATAAAAGTGCTTGCCCAAGACCACAGAACTAGTTAGTAGCAGAGCTGAAACCAGATCAGTGCCCTTGCCCAGATTAATCAGATTCCTTGCCATGGACCATGTGGTTTGTGGGAATTTTGCATGAAAACACAAATGTTAATTCCTCACCTCAGTTGGCAGGATGCTGTACGCCAATCTGTCTATGTCTGGTAGTATAATTATTTATGTCACTAATGTTTCAATATCTTTGTATGTATTCAGGTTATAATTATTGAGGAATAAAATATATAAAAGTAAAATACTGGTGTACCTACGCGAGGAGGTACTCCAGTCTAGGCAGAGACCAGCAAACATATTAAAAGCTATAACAGTTATCTTCCTTCCTCTATCACATTATAAAATCTTTAAGGGCAGTCTTAGTTTCTTTAGAGACATTCCTATTGCCTAGCACAGAAAACTGCCTTCCAATAAAATGTATTTAAAATAAATTAACTCTAGCAAATCTTTCCAAAATTTTTAATTTCCCTATACTCTAGTAAGAATCCATAGCTTTTCATAATTTATACTTGCCTATCATTATAGAATATTAGGCCCACACCTAAGATTTGCTCACCAGGCAACAGCTGTTCACTAGTTTATTATTTTAGTAAATATAATTTTTTAATATTTTACCTGGATAAATTACTAAATCCTTTATATTCATATTATCATGTCATCTTTTCAGAGGGGCTACTTTTACTTCTCATTATATAGGTGAGAAATCTGAGACCATGGAGACATGACTAGCGTCATCCAGATGGCATTTTTCGCAGCCAGGATTTGAACTTACATCTTTCTGGAATTAAAGCTCATGCTCTTCTTACTATCTCAGAGTTCATAGATTATATGTGTGGTGGTATGAGGGACATGGAGGTGTATGTGGGAAAGCACAGCATTATTTGTTTGAAAGAACAAAATGTGGTATTATTGGATTTATAGAGAAACCATATATTATTGTACATGGTTTTCATACCTTGAGGTGTGTAGTTGTCCAAACGTCATTCTGGGCCACCAGAAATGCTACCAGATTTTACCAATGTGAATGACCGTCCTTGAATATGGTAGTTTAAATGGTTAACTGTCTGTGTAAATGTGAAATTTCTTTTTAAGTGAAAGGTCTTGCTGCAAGAAGAATGGCTTTGGGACTGCCAACTTACAGGGCCATTTCTGAAAACCCAGTCATTATGTTGCCTTGATATTACTGTTAATCATGAGTGTCCTTAGAACTTATTGAAATGCTAAGAATTTTTGGTGAGGATGTACACCGTTTCATCTTATAGGCAGATAAGTCTCCTTTAGAGACCAACCTTATGAAATTGTCTAGCCTGCTAGAGCTGAATAATTTTGTAAAATAAGTATTGAAAGGTTTAGTGTATTATATAGCCAATCACCTCGAGTACACTGAAACAGCCAGTAAGAAGCTTAAACATACTCTTGAAGAGGCAAAAAGAGACATCATTAGACAGGGCTTATAACTGCTGCCCCCTTGATTTTCTCATTTCAGGACTTTTATCAGCTCAGTTTCAACAGAAAGCAAAGAAAAAAAAATCTTCCCTTTTAACTTGCTTATTGAAATAGAAGGAATTTTTTCCTTGCCAGTCTCTGAAACCCTTTTTCACCAAACAAAACCTGCTGGGAGAAGTTTTCATTCTTTGTTTGGAGACAATAATTTTGGAAATAGAAAACTGTGAACTTTCTATGAGATCAGATGATTTGGAATGGGCACATGGTGTGCTGAGGCACCAATAGGGAATGACCTCTGTCGTGACAGCCCCCCAGCACACACACCCCATAAAGACCTCCTAGGCCACAGGCCTGTGAATTGATGCATACATCATGGGGCAAGATGAAAGTGAAACACACCTCAAGCTGTCGTGCTTTTCCTTTAAGTCCTTAAGGATAAGTCACAGCTATTGTTACCCCAATATTAGTGAATCGAAGACTTCAAAGAAGAGTTTTCTATAACTTAAAAGAGTAGATTTAAGAATGGGGAAATTCCATTTATGTCCAATGTAAAGATACATTCATTTGCCCTTCCCTTGCGCTTAAAAATTTTTCATCCATCACTGACTAATTATCAGCGCAAATCTGGCCCACAGCCTATATTCTCCCATTTGATTCTGTAGCAGGTGGATGAAATTTCAGCTACAGTAAACCCAGTCCCTATAATCTAAGTCCTGCATTAGCAACTCGTAGCTTACCCTGAAGAAGTCTAGATGAGGTCAGGGCCCTGAGTCTATTTGATTCCATTGATAATAACAATAAACCTCAGGACTATTTCAAGGAGACTGTAAATGCACTGAGTTTATTTCCATGAAAATTAAACAAAATAATCAGTTTGGTGATCTCCTTTAACACAGATTAAATGTAAGGTTTATTGTCCTCTTAAAAAAAGGTTTGTTTATGTACCCAACAAACAGTTAATTTGTACCTACTATGTGCCAAATATGAAGTCTCTTGTTCTAGTTGGACAAACAGAGAAATAGACCAACAATGAAAATATGCTGTGATCAGTAATACAACAGATGTAAAATAAATATAGATGATTTGGTCACTGAGAAGGGCACCCAACCCAGGAAAACGGGGGCATGTATTACAGGCAAAGATTCAGAGCTGAGAGAGAACAGGCTCCCTGTAAGTCCCTGTCGACAGCTGGGATGGCTGGAGTACAGTTATGAAACAAGGGAGGCAGATGGTAGGCAGATCAAGGGGCTTAAAAATCATGCTAACCTGAAAGATTACAAAGCAGGAAAGTGGCAGGACCAGTTTTGCATTTCAGACAGCCAAGGCCCAGATAGATGAATGGGCTAAATCAAGTCTGATGGGAGAAAGAGGCCAGCAGTCCATACAACGGAGACACCCTTGCCCTCTTTTAATTAATAGGAAGTTGGCATCGCTCTTTCATTCCACCCTACTGCAGTGTCCCATATGAGGAGTGAGTCATCTGATCCTTGAGGCTGGGAACAGCTGGGAGGAGTGGAGCTCTTCTGCTTCGGGATCTGCATAAGGGCAGGGGGCACATTCGGGTCAGGCCAACCAGGGCAAGCTCTGCCTATGGATGTGCATTAACAGAAGCGGCCACGGGAGGACGGAAGGGTAGCACTGTCCTCATCCCCATTACCGGCTGAGTGACTGTTAGTTCTACACACCTCATTTTAACTCAAGTAGGACTCCAGGTATAGACCTGGGAGGGATCTAAGTCACGTGCTCCAGCCCAGCTTTGCCAGACACAAAAGATATATTTTTATCTCTGTTTGGCTCCTGTGTCTGATTTGCAGTTGGCTCAAAATGCAGAGGGAGAGGAGTATGATGAACCAACCCTCCTAAAGATTCCCCAGCAAGGGCCCAAATCACACAGTGGCAGACAGGGTAGGAAGGAGGAAAGAGAGTCCAGAGATAACGAAGTTTGAATTTAGTGATCCCCAGGATGTAGTATCATCAGTAAAGGACAAGCAATCTTTCAAAACCACCACAAAATAAAACAACTAAAACACCCTTGAAATGAAAAATAGAAAGTCCGATAAGTTAGCACTCTTATTTCTATATTTCTTGGTATGGTTAGTGTATCTATTTTTCATAGAAAACTTTCTTGTGTCAAAAATCTTATTACAACCATCCTCTACTCCTGATATATTTTAGTCTCTGTGATGAAAAATAATTGCATTGAAGGGGGAAGGATGCCATCCATGTTTGGACCTCCTTAATCAGTGCATTACCTGATAGGACATTTATTAAGGATAAAACATTTCTTTTATCCCAATAGCTGCCTCAGCAGTTGTTAAGATGAGTAGGGGGAGGGGAAAGAAAGCCTTTATCATTTCCTGATCTCTCCAGCAAATTGCCAATTTATGCACAGAATATTACAAATACTGCTGAATTATTTCAGCCTGGAATTAATTTAGAGAATCTTCCCCTTCTTTTGAGTGCCCAGGGATTTGGCTTATCTTTATTTGCTGAAGGAACCATGCCACTGAAAGCAGTCCCAGGATTATTTCAAGTGAATGAATAATGAAATTGCCCAGCTTCCTAACGGTTTCCAAATTCTATGACTACCTCAGTACAATCTCCTGGGCTGATTCATCAGCTGGGCTTCTCTCACTGTGGGTGAAGCCACCAGGCTCGGAAGCAGGAGCTTCTGCATTGAGTAATTAAGGCCAGTGAGGACAACCCAGTGTCACCAGGGTTACTGAAGGCTGCTTTGGAAAATGTAGAAAAGATATTTCATCCTTCAGACAGCATCATTAGGGTAACACACACAAAATAATCAATTACCAAAAGCAGCTATTTTTAAATAATCCTTCACTGGTGTGAAATGCCTTTATCACATCAGAAATCATTGCTCTTGCTAGAGGTAAGTATACACGAAACAACAGGGCTTCTTGTTTGGTGTATATTTCTTGGCTTTAAAACAAGGGCAAATTCAGGATGATACACTAAGAATTCAAATAAATCACTGTTTTACACAAAGATGCGTATGTACCATGGCTAACCTCCTAAAAACACTCCACTCATCATGTTGGTTGGCTCCAGTAACTGTCTAGGTTATTTCTTTTGTTGCTAAGCAATGAATATTAATTGTGGAAAATTTGAAAAATTTAAATACAAGGATGAAAACAAAATGCATGCTTAATATAAAAAAAAGGTATAGAGATATACATATTTAATATTTGGGATATTTCCCTCCAATAAATAATGTTTCTACTCATCTCCAAACACACACACATACACACACACACACAATTGAAAATTCTGACTTCCATTCTGCTTTTCCACTTAGATCATAAGTATCTTGTCAAGTCCTTAAACATTAAAAAAAATGGCATACAGCATTCTTTATGTCCATAACGTAGAAGGCAAAAGACTACTATTTTTTTTCTTTTTAGTGTTGAATCCCCAACATTCAAAACAGTGCCTGACAAATAGTAGGTGCTCAATAAACATCTCATGAATGGATAAATGAAATAACTAGAATGAACAAAGGAATGAATGAATGGTTTTCCCTCTGAAAACTGTGTCAGGTAAAGTGGACAACTCACTGCTTCTCCAAGAAACCAATAAATATGTCAGAAGCAGGCTCCATAACAATCATTTCTCAAGTTTATACAGGTTGAGCCAAACCTGGGTATGAAATTGTCTTAACTCATTTTATCATATACTTTATCTTCTATGAATCCCAAACAATGCATCTCCTCTAGCATGACAACTAATATCCAACTCTTCTATATTGTTAAAAAAACAAAACAGGCCAGGTGAGGTGGCTCATGACTGTAATGCCAACAATTTGGGAGGCTGAGGCAGGCAGACTGCTTGAGCCCAGGAGTTCGAGACCAGCCTGGGCATCATGGCAAAACCCTGTACCAAAAATACAAAAAAATTAGCTGGATGTGGTGATGCATGGCTATAATTCCAGCTATTTGGGAGGCTGAGGTGGGAGAATCACCTGAGCCAGGAGGTCAAGGCTGTAGAGAGCTGAGATCACACCACTGCACTCCAGCCTGGGCAACAGAGAGAGACCCAGGTTCAAAAAATAAACAAACAAAAAAACCAAGGCTTTTCTTTAAGAATATTCTACCTTCTTACGGAGTCTACAGACTAAACCAGAATATTATCCCAGCATACTCACAAGGTCCTCTTACAGTATTTCTGATAATTCTGTTGAGCTGCCATCTGAAGGCATTAAAATAAACAGTTGTAAATATCTACTGATTAAGCATTAAACCTAAGATATCCTAAAATTACTGCATTCAAGAGGCTGCCATTTCCTGACTATTCAGCTCTTTAGGTGCAATTTTGATATACTTGCCTTAATGTGCCATTTATTAAATGTATATCTTAAATCAGCAGTGAAATGAAACCAACATCATTAATTCCACAAAAATCAAGGAACCGACATGTGTGTTATCCTGCCCTGTGCGTTGTTATCAGCACGTTACTTCCCATGCTGGATATTACAATTGCTTGATATTATCCCTTATTACTTTAAAGGCAATTTTACATTTCACATCCAAATTAACGGCTAATCTCAAAAGGCTTATTATGTTTAATTACTTTTTGTTCCTGAATCCTCTCTTACACCCTGCACATTCTTTCCTTAAATGATACTCAAAAACTCGAAGTGTAATCAGAGATCACAAAAGTTGTTAAATTGTGGATGTTAATTAGAATAGAGACAGGATCTGGAAAATAATTTATCTAAATCCCAGAGTAAGGGGTCTCTGAGGTTCATAAAAAGGTCATATTTGATCAGTTTAAAGATCTGGCAAAGGACAAAGGTTTGGGGTCCAGCTCTGACTCTCACATGTCATGTCTTTAAGCAAGTGGCTCCACCTCTCTGGTCTTCATTTTCCACATTTACCCATCGGAGGCTTCCCTGTGCCACAGTCAGCACCACGCTCAGATACACAAAGAGTCCTTCAAGCCCCAGCTTTGTCCACAGCCTCAGCCTGCTCTTACACATGTGACACTCAACTTTCTAGACACCACAGATCTCTTTGGATTCTGACCTTATGCCTTGCTTCCTTTTACTATCTTGCCTTGTTCTTCAGACTCCAAGCCTTGAATAATATTGCCAGTTCTGTATTCTCAATTTTCTTCTTCATCAAGATTTGTATTTGCTGCTCAGCTAGCCTGTTTCTTCCTGACATGGGACAAGCCTTGGCTTTCTCCAGAAGCACCCTGGACTCTGGGGTCCAGCTCAGACTTCCTGGACTAGCTGGCCTCTGTTTGCCAAAGCAGCCTCCAGTAAGCCCTGGCAGTCTAGCAGCCACTGTTCCTGGACCAGACCCATCCCAGTGCCTAGACCTAGTCTGACTGAAGCAGGATTTATACCATGGTTTCAGAATTTTAGGGTTGGCATTTAAGTTGTTTTTAGAAAGCTGTGATGTGGGCTCAGCTGTCCTACATGAGTTTCCTTCACTGACAATCAGACCTGGGATCAAGAGTCTTCAGGATGACTTCCTTGCCAAAACCTTGTTTCCCTAAACTGAAATAATAAACCCCTCTTGGCCATGGTCTCCACTCTTGGGGTTTGCTGAATTGCCTTCCCCAGCACACAGGCCTGCTCTAGGACAAGAACTGGGCATTAGCCCCTACTTGGTGGCCATGGTTGTATCTCCTGCAAACAAATTGCCTAGATGTCTCCAACACTGCCAGCTGCTTCCACAATGCCAACTGCCACATCCAGTCTCCAAAAGTGTGCTCTGTTAGGACCTGTGACATTCTGCCATGCTAACTGCAGCCTGATTAAAAACTTAATGCCTAGCATTTTCTTTGTAAGTATCTATGGTGGATAAAGTGCATGCATTATCTCTTTTACATCCTCCCAATAATCCATATAGAAAATGTATTATTATCCCACTTTAAAGATGAAGAAACTGAGGCCAAGATAGGTGATGGTATCAGAACTTGGACTTGATCTATGTCTTTTATTGACAGGTCATTTCTCTTTCTATTTGTATTTGTCTCCTATGTGATTGTAATAAATTCCCCCAAACTTGGTGGCCTAAAATATCTGAAATTTATTTTCTCAAGGTTTTGGAGGCCAGGAGTCTTAAATCAGTTTCACTGGGCTGACGTTAAGTTATCATGAGGGCCATACTCCCTCTGGGGGCTCTGGGAGAGAATCTACCCCTTGCCTCTTCAAGGCTTTGGTGGCTGCAGGCATTCCTTGGCTTGTGGCCACATCATTCCACTCTGTGCCTAGTGGTCACATTACCTTCCTCCTCTGTGTCAAATCTCCCTCAGCCATCCTCTTAAAAGAACACTTGTGACTGCATTTATTTAGGGCCTACCTGGATAATGTCCCTACCTTAAGAGCCTTAGTTTAATCACACCTGCAATATCCCATGTAAGGCAACATGCACAGGTTCTGGGGATTAGAATAGGAATATTTGAAAGGTCAATTTTTCAACCTGTGACACTAGTAAATAATCCATTTCCAATTTTCATAGTTGAAAGCACTGGGGTTTTTTGGCATTGCAGGTATAAAATTAATACTCAGCAAAGTGAATTTTCTAGATTTCCATAAAACTTGTTTGTATTTCTCACATCCATGATCTCATAAATTCTTCAAAGCAGTAGGGACGCAAGCATTAGTATGCCCATGTTACAGCAGAGGAAACTGGGGCTCAGGGAAGAGAGATTCTCACCAAAGGTCACACAGTAAGAAGGAGGCAGCTGAGATATGAACCCAGTAATTCCTGACTTTCAAGTGAGTGTGAGCATTTTTTTGCCTGATCAATCATCATCCTCCCTGGGATGGTTTTCCACCCCAACCATTTCCCTTCTTACTTCCAGAGGACAGATGTGTCCTCTCCCCTGCATTCCCATCAGCTGGAGAGTCACCAGGGCCACTCTGTTTTTGTTTATCGGAGCTGTGCTGTTTGTCCTTCTCTTGTAACACATCGAGATCATGATTTCGATGAGCTTTTCTCCCAAATCGCTTTCCTCATCCATAAATTGCATTACTTTCTCCCCTTGTAATTATTCTACATTTTTGTACTTTGAACTACATTTACCATCTGCTAGCCCAATTACGCAAATGATCCAAATCCTTTTGAATCTGGTTAAATTGTTCGACAGGATTTGCTCGCTCTCCACTTCTAAAATCATCTGTGAACCTGGATGTGACACATCGAGTCTTAAATAGATGGGAGTGGGAAGGTGGGAGGTGGGGGTAGCAATATGTCAGCATGATGTCAGGGAGAGAATGGGAGGCACAGGCTTGGTGAGGAGGGTGAGTTCTGCACCCACCTCCCCAAGAGCTGGGGAGCTAATTGTATCAACCTCTGAATGTGCAGGTTCAGCATCTTTGATGTCTCATTTTCTCATGCAACAAAAAATGAATTCTCTACTTTCATGCCTGCTTGGTAGATTTTTGTGAGGATTAATGAGATGGTTTTGATTAAGCACCTTGGAGAGAAACACTACATAGATCACTGGCATCTGGCTAATGTTACACACTTAGCTGTTGTGAAATATAAACCACAGTCACAACTCCCTGTACCAACATTCTATCCTTTGGTCTCTGCCTTCCCTCTTTGCAACCAGGCCACTGTCTGACCTCTTTGGGTCATTCAGCCAAGAAACTCTAGTAAGACCAGCTGGGGAGAGAGAACACAGGCACAGCCCTTGTCCTCAGAAGACTCACAGTTGAGACCAGGAAGACCAGTGAAGAAGTGACTGAGACACAGTAAGGTGAGCCCTACAGTGAGGGAAGCAGAAGATGCTAAAAGAGTAGGGAGGACAGTTCTGTAATTCAGATTGGCTGGCTGGTCAGGGCATAGGATTCTAGTATGAAAAGTAGCTGAACTAAGTCTTAACCATCAAGTAGGAGCTGGTCTTGAGAGAGGAAGAAGACTATTCCAAGACTGGGTGAACCACATGTGCAAAGACTTAAAAAATGAGGGGCAGCGCAGGTTCCAGAATATTTGAGGCCCTGCTGATTCCTAGTTAGCCGAGGCAAGGCAGAGCAACGTGAGATGCTGCAAAACACAGAGTAAAGGACACACAGTTGAAGGGAGCACAATTTGTAATTTATGTGGGTCATAGCAAAACTAGTGTGCCACAGGAAATAAAGAGGTTATTCATCAGTTTTAAGAGGAACTCTTCCCTCTGCCAATTGCTGCCAATTACTTCTGAGCTTCTGCAACCCTGACATGGGTACTGAATGATTAAAATTAGAAGACATCAAGCACTATCTTAGAAGGTTTTCACAGCTTTCCAGATAATTGTTGTTGTTGTTTTCAACATCAACCTCTATTTCTTCTTATTTGCTAATTTTCTGAGGAAGAGAGATTTTTTAAAAAGCAGGACACAAGTTTACACATTTCATAGTTTGTTCCTGATTGTTAATTCGCAACTGAAATTATCCTTAGAAGACTTTAAGAACCCCACAATATAAACATCAGTGAATTAAATCCTAGGCACATAGAGAACTCGGCCAAGAAGGAGCCTCACCAGCCTGCCCCGCTAGTGTAGAGATTTAGCAATGCAAACCCTTCACCCCACAAATACTCACCAAGGGCAACAATACACCAGGGCTGTGCTCTGTGCTTAGACACAGAGAGAAGAGCATGACACAGTCTCTAGTATCCTTCACGATGATCATAATTCAGTCTCAGTGACCAAACAGTCCACCTAATACTACGAGTGGGTAAAGCCCTCATTCACTGGGTGCTTACTGAGTGTCAGGCAGTAAAGTCAGCTCATTGCTCATATCATCTCATTTCATCTTCATAGTAACCTGTGGGAGGGGATCTCTTGGCAAATCCATTTAACAGATGATAAAACCAAGGCTTCATTTGTCCAACTTAAGCTACACATCCGGATTCCACATCCAGCAGTGAAACATAGAGCCACAAATCAAACATGAGTCAATTTGAATTCAAAGCCTGGTACCTTAACCCCTGAGAACTAGACTGCCTGTTAAGAGTCAATGACATGACACAAACCCCACAGATCCTGAGGCTGCATGGCACAGAAAAGAGCCTTTACAGGATCCTCTAAGTTAATCCCCCATGGTACAGATAAGGCAACTGAGGCACAGAGAAGTCAGGGGACTCACCTAAGGTCACAAAGCAGGTTTGCAGCATCCAGTGCTCTTGGTTTTCTCACACTCAGAGTGATTTCTCCATATACCTTCCCCCATCACTGCATGCAAGCAGGGCCTGGGCAGTTCTCAGGCCTCCCTGTGCCAGCTCTTTCAGTCAGAAGGAGTTGGTTTCTACTGTAGAGCATGGAAGCATGGTTAAAAGAGCTAACTCTGAAGACAACCAGCCTGCGTTCACACTCTAGCTCTGCCATCTTCTGCTGTGGCCTTGGGCAAGTTATTAACCTCTCTGTGCCTCAATTTATCTCCCGCATTTAATGATAATAGCTGTGTGGATTAAATGAGTCACTATGTATAAGGGGCTTAAATCAGTACCTGGAGAGTAGCAAGGACTCAATAATAGTTAGCTACTTTATGATGACCACTCCCACCCTCCCAATTTGTTCTTACACACTGACAAACCCCAGCCCTCTGGAGCCTGCAGCCACCCCACCTGCCACCCCAACCTCCGCAAGAAACACGGTCACGGTGTTTCTTGACCAGTCTTCACTGAAAATCAATCTCCTTGGCCTCTGACATATTTTATCAGACAAACCTATACAGTATCCCTATGCATCCAACAATGAAATGTTTATTTTATAATGAGAGATGCTAGAGGTTAAAAGGCCTTTCAGAGGTCTCAGGGCAATTTCTCCCTCGCCCCAATCCACTTCGCCCCCATAGCATGGTTGACCCCTTACCATTCTTAATAATTTACTTATTTAGCAAGTGTGTTGTTTACTCTGCTCTCTGCTCCCACTGACTGAATGTAAGCTCCATGAAGTCAGTGATCCATGTCTATTTTGGTGTATCCCAACCAGCTAGAATTGATAATACATGTTGGTCTTAGCATGAACCAGACCTACTTCTCCATAGAGTGTGACAGAGAAGGGAGGAAATGCCAAAAGCATCACTCAGCTCAGTACCTGGCACATAGTAAGCACTCAGCACATCTGCTGACTAGTGAATGAAGTATCAGACAGACCACATGCTAGCAGAGTGACTTTGGACAAGTCACTTTCACCTGAGTCAACGTCAACCTCTAAAATGATAATCATACCATGTGCCTCACAGATTGTTATGCCTATTAAATAATAATAAGTGAGCACTAAAAATACTTTTCCAAGATGAAGTGCGGTAAAAAATGTCATTGCTATTATGTATGGAAGACAGGGACACAGATAGTCACTGATTTATTTGTTATTTATCATTCATCTGTCCAGTACCTGCACTGGGCCAATGAAAATAAAAGAGGCACAGCTACTGTCTTTAAGGAGTTTACCGGTTGGAGGAGGGAGGAGAGAAGAAGATTTGGGAGGTAGGGGTCAGCAAGGGATTTCCAGCTGGTCAACAGGGGAAACAATTCTGTCAAACAAGCAAGGAAGAAAAGGATGCAGCTGGCATGGGTTGGAAAGCTACATGTTGGGCAAGTTGAATCTATTAATACCACGAACCACTCTCGTCATTTCGCATTGTTATTCCCATTGTACCATTAAGGAAGCTGATTAAATGACTTCCCCAAGGTCACACAGCTTTCTGTGGCAGAGGCCACATTTGAACCAGGCCTACTGAACTGAACTGAAATCACATCAACTCCAATCATTAGGCAAAACAGTCAAAGAAGAGTTTGGCATCTCTTTGAGAGCTCTTAGCCACATTGGGTGCCATGGTTAATACTGTGAGTTGGAACTTCAGGGCCTAAGGCCTGTGCTCCTACCCCAGATGCTTCCCCCAGAGCCACCCATGAAGATACAGACAGAGCACTGAAACCCACAGTTTGTCCTTACCTGCAGCCCAGCCACCAAATAGGATGTGGCATTGCAATTGGCTGACAAGTCCCCAAAGTCAGTGATTTTACTTACACCTACTTTCCGCTCTTATCACCCGGAGTTCTTTGTGGGAAATTCATTTGAATTTGTAAGAGACTCATTTGCATCCAGACTGATCACTGGTGTGATGCTTCCCTTTAAAAGGTATGGAACCCATAAAGTGAAATGTGATCAAGAGCATCCCAGAGCCTCTTCTGCTGAGTACAATGGGCAGGAGCACAGCATCCTGCTCCCAGCCAGATTCTGAGAGAAGGTCTTTTGGAAGCATTCTCCAATGCTGAAAATATGGGCCCCGTGCCCTAAGGGTACTAAGTGAAAACCCACCTCTCAGGTATCTCAGAACACAGCACCTGGCTGGTGTTGTCAGCCAGGCAGGAAGTATTCCATGAGCACAACACATGGCAAACATTAAGGGTGTGGTGGTATAAGGGGCTATCTTCCCTCAAGGAGCTCATGGACGTGAATGTCTCCAACTAGCATCTGTCTCTTAAAAGCAGTGTGACCTGAGGCAAGTTAGTTAAGCCCCTTGGGTCTAAGTTTCATCATCTATGGAATAAGAAGATAAAATTTTTTTTTTTTTGAGACGGAGTCTCGCTCTGTTGCCCAGGCTGGAGTGCAATGGCACAATCTCGGCTCACTGCATCCTCTGCCTCCTGGGTTCAAGCGATTCTCCTGCCTCAGTCACCTGAGTAGCTGGGATTACAGGTGCCTGCCACCGTGCCAGGCTAAATTTTTTTTGTATTTTTAGTAGAGATGGGGTTTTACCATGCTGACCAGGCTGGTTTCGAACTCCTGACCTCAGGTGATCTGCCCACTTTGGCCTCCCAAAGTGCTGGGATTACAGGCATGAGCCACTGCGCCTGGCTGAAGATACAACTTTTTTACTGAGTTGTTGTGAAGATTAAGTGAAATGACGTATATAAAATGTTTCATGAAATACCTGGACCTAGTAAGCACTTATTAACAGTAGCTGATAATAGCCCCAATGGTGGCTGTGGGAACACGGTATTAGGAGAAGTAGTAGCAGTGGTAGCAGCCACAGCAGTAAAGGATTAGGATGCTATCTGTCCTTTCTGAGTGCTATGAGCCATTAGGAGAAAATGTATCTCTCAAAGGCAAAGTACCTGAAAAAGCTGCAATTCTTCAGGATTGGAGAGAATAGCAAAGGAATAGAGGCTAGACTGGATGTCATTTAGTCGGAGCCAGTTTTGTGCCAATAATTTTCATTACACTTGTTATCTCATTAAATCTTGACAGTTTTTCAAAAGATGAAATTGGGACTAAAAATGGTTAGGTGACTTACTCAAGGTCATAGCTGTTTGATGGTGAGAGTCTGACCCCAAGCTCAGGAGTACCTCATTCCAAACCCACATTCTACCCTGTACCACAAGGGGAAAATTGTAAATATCAGGACTGTGGGCTCCCTGAGAGCTCCTGGAGCCCTCCTGGTATGGAAGGATGGCCTCTTTTCTGCTTCCCAACTCTTGTGTATGAATATCTTCCATATATATCATGCTATACTCTTGACTTTTTGCATTAATCCATTTATTAATATGTCTCCTCAACCCAGCTTCCCAAACTGTGAACTCTTTTTCTTTTCTGTATCTCATTGTATATGTACCTCACATCATAGTATCTAAAACATAATAGACTTAATTCACTAAATATTTATTGTTCACCTACTAGACACAGAAAATTCTTCTAGGCATTTAGACTCCTCAATGAACAAAACACACAAAAAAATTTCCTGCCTTGTTAGAACTTACAGTCTATCACGGAAAACAGATACTCAACAGGAAACATAATAAATAAGTAAATTCAACATATGATCATTGAATAAGGTGAATAAATGAGAGAATGATTGATAGAATGGAGGATGGGTATTCTGATATCTTTCTAATCTGATCATGGTCATATTTTCAAGGACAAATTCCGCATTGGTACAATTTCCGCATACATAGCCCTGATTTCATTTGATCTCACGGCAATCCTGCAGAGGCAATTATAGAATGATGAGCCTCATTTTGTGGAAAGGGAAACTGATGGTCAGTGATGTCCTGTACCTTAAACAAGGTTGAACCCCTAGAGAATGAGGACCCCTGAACATGACGCCTAAACATTGAGAGCAGGTCTCGTGATCTCCCCACCCTCCCAGGCTCTCACTCACCCTGGGTCAATTCCCTACTACCAAAGGTGAGGAAAGTTCAATTTTACTATCTGGCATTTTTCTTTGATTCCCTGATGTCTTGGTCTTAAGATGCTTTCTGATCACCCACTGTATCTGTTCATGGTGCATATATAAATATCTCAGCTGTCAATATCAACAATAGTAATCTCAGAAAAAATAACTGCTTACATTTGTAGTCTTTGTCTGTTTCCAAGGAGTTTTACTGTAACCTCATTTAATCCTCCCCTTAAATAACCCTTAGAAGTAGGAATAGTGGAGGTTTCACCTTGAATTTACCTGAATTTCATTTTGCGGCTTAGAAAACAGATCCAGGGAGATGAGGATACTGGCCAGAGTCCCTTGAGTAGGGAACAGCAGCCCCAGGATGGGATGCCCAGCTCTCCTGGTACCCCAGTGGGCTCCCTCCTCCCATGCGCCCCACACCCAGCCTCCAGACACGGTGAATTTTCTCAAAGCATCTCATTCACCATCTCTCAAACCCTTCTCTCTTCTGGTGAGTCAGCCACTGCCATCCATGTTTCTCATTTTTATGCGCCTGAGATGTGCAGGATGTGCGTTCTTGTGTGGAAGCCTGTAAAATCTATTTATGGACCTAATTGTCAGTTTTCATGAGTGACAGACATACAGTGCTTTGACTACCCAGCCTAATGCGTCTGTATCTGACATTTTAAATAGAACTCTCTTTCCCCCTCCCTGTTCTTTTAGGAAGTAATTTAAGATAGCAGGTATTTTTATATTCATATATCTTTAATTATATCTACACAACTGTCAGAGATTAATGATTTCCTCAATCTGGCTCTTCTTAAAGGAGAATTCAGAACTTACAAAACACTAAAAGCAGCTCAAACGGATGCCGTCAGTAACAAAGACATTCCCAGGCAAGGGGTTTGGCTTTAGTCAAGTTTGAGTTCTCATTGTAGATTAATTTTGTGCAAAGTTTCTATGAATTATTGAAAAACCAGCACTCGTGGACGGCCAATATAAATAGATCTATACATGTAAACCAATAAAAAAGCATGTGACAGACGGAGAGCAGGCTTGGAGTGGAACTAGTCCCTTGCCCCCAGAGAAATAAGCAGCAATAGGTCCCAGGTGGTATCTATGTATTTTGACCCCAAACAAAAATCTCAACTTCTCATGTAAGCAAACTCAGTCTAGAAGCTTGAGATTAGAGAGGACTTCAGAAATAATTTCTCCAGCTCCTCTGCTTGATGCCAGAATTGCTGCTGCAGTAAAATTCACTTACCCATGGCTGTTGAGTGCCACACATGAGGCAGGCCAGGGGCCCATGCTAGGCACAAGGCATGGCTCCTGAAATCAAGGGACTCCCAATTTAGAGGGAATAAAAAACAAGCAGAGTCATCTGCACACAAGGGAAGAACCGCACTGAGGGATACCTACACAAGGCTATCAGAAAAAGGGGAGGCAGGAAAGTGGGCACAAGTTTCCTGCTCACCAAGTATGTGATGTTGGGCAAATTAATTTCTTTTTCTTCATGAGTAAAATAGGATT
Organism: Homo sapiens; assembly: GCF_000001405.40. Classification (NCBI taxonomy): domain Eukaryota; kingdom Metazoa; phylum Chordata; class Mammalia; order Primates; family Hominidae; genus Homo; species Homo sapiens. The sequence goes on from NC_000001.11 coordinate 57,266,254, forward strand.
AATAATATTTTCCCTTCATGAGTAGCAAATGACATCTGGCTTTTGTTTCCCATGCCTGTCTCATTTCTACTGCTCCCCTATATGAACCCTGAGCTCCAGCATCCTGAATTTCTCATCATTCCTCCAAAACACTATGATTCCTTGCATCTCAATACATGGAGTGTCTCAGATGATTCACTCATGAATTCCTTTTGTTTAATAAACTTCTAATCAACTTTTATGATCTAGGCCCAATGCCACCTCCCCTGTGAAGCCTTCTCCAATCTCCCAGGTACATTTATCATTCCTTTAATCCCTGGCAAATACCTTTATAAAGGTGCTTATCATACTGGACTACAGCAATTTTGTTATCTATCCTCACAACGAGTTTGTGTTTCAAGAAACACTGTTTTATATTTAATATCCTCAGGGTCTGGCTACTGACTGTCCAATGGCAGACAGGTACTTAATAAATTAATGAAATGAATGAATACTGAATGAATGGATATATGATCAAAGAAATGATGAGCAATATGTATAAATACTTAGTAAACTATAATAAAAGAAGCTCCTGTTTAATGAATGATACCCTGTCCCCGATGCAGGGGTAGGTTCATATAATTCTATCATCCACAACAATTCCACAAAATAGACTTGCTCTAAGTAAATTTATGGTATGGGCACTGAACAATCTCAACTGATGTCAGTGACACACCATGTCAGCCCTTTAGATACTGTAGTGGGCTAAATGGTGGTCCCAAAAAGGTACTGTCATGTCCTAATCTACCAATCCTATGAATGTGAACAAATTTGGAAAAAGATATAATTCTGCAGGTGTAATTAAATTAAGAATCTTGAGATGAAAGATCATCCTGGATTATTCTGGTAGGCCTTAAGTCCAATAATAAGTGTTCTCATAAGAGACACATAGAGAAGGCTACGTGAAGGCAGAGCAGAAAGAGATGCAACCACCAGCCAAGGAATGCCAGTGGCCACCGAGAGCAGGAAGAGGCAGAGAGCAAAGAGCTTCCACAGGGAGTGAGTGCAACCCTGCCCACACTGTGATGTGGACTTCTGGCCTCCAGAACGCTGAGAAAGTACATTTCTGTTATTTTAAGCCACTCAGTTTGTGATAATGTGTTACAACAGCCTCAGGAAATGAACACGGAGAGATATTTCAATCTCTGTCATAAAGACAAGGAAGCTGAAGTTGAGAGAGGAAGTGTTTTCTCTAAGCTATGAGATTCAGATCTGAACCTGTCTTATGCCGAAGAAGACTTCATACTGTCTGTGGTATCATAATCCCTCCCAAGGGCAGCCTCTGGAGAAAGATGCCTCCAGCACTTCGCAGCCCGAGTACCTGAAACATACAGGTGCCCAGGTTCTACCTCTGGTTCTACCTTTCTGAATTTTGGGGCACCTGTGCTTTTGTTTTTGTTTTTTGACAGATGCTTCAGGTCATTGCACTACACGGTAGGACTGAGGTCCAGAGCACCAAAGGGCATGGGTTTTACTCTTATGGTATTGGATAAATGCCCACTCCAAAACACATATCGGGAAACACAGAAGGGAAAATAACAAGAACCAAACCCCAACTTGACAGCTGGGCTCTCTGTCTTTTCCATGGGTATCCCACGCTCCCCCATGCTGCTGTGCTATGAGAGCGGAGAGTGGGAAAACAATTAAATATAAGAGTTGGTTCTAAACCAAAGCCATTCCAACTCCCCACAGGGTTTATTAAATCATTTATAATTCCAAGAAGCTGAAGTAAATATTTAATATTTGATTCCTAATCCATAAATATTTACATGTAGGGATTTCTCCATGTTCAACAAGCCCACCAGAGGTTTTACACTTTTAGCAAGTGTGACTAATGAAACCTTACAATTCCCTACCCCAAAGCAAGGAGCATCTGGCCACTCCCTCAAGAATTCTGATGCAGGGAACAGGCGGTGTGCACCCGGAGTGCAGCCACGATCACTGAGAACTGTTCAAGGATTCAGCTTTGACAATCACTCTGGGGAAGAGAAAGAAATAGCGACAGAAACAGAAAACAAAAAACTGATGATGCTGCTGCAAAAGAAGGACCTTCCAAAGGTTGCCGTGATATTTTCTGTTTGTTAACCTTATGGCAATTAACATTTAAAGTGGGCTTCCAATGTGGAAATATTGATATAATGTCACTAGAAAATCCAGATAACTCTTTGTGAATCCTCCTTTAAAAGTCCCAGAATGATACTGGCAGTCTCAATTCATCCAACCCATTCCAGTGAGATATATAATTGTATTTATTAAGTTTATTTCCTTTAATAAGTGTGTGACATCCTGGTAGGAGGTGAAAAATAAAAAAACCAGGTTTCTTCCCTGAGAGCACCTTACTCTCTTCCTAAATGACTTGTAATAAAATAAGGAGAGCTGTCAGTCATTAAATACCTTCTATGTGCCAAGCCCTCTATTAGGTTCCATACATACATAATTCTAATTCTAAAATCCCAATTTTATGAGTGAATACAGAGGCTTCACAGGTTAAGTAGCTTGCGGAGCTAGGATTTAAACACAGATGATCTGTCAAGGGCCAGTCAGGCAAACTGAGCACTTGCCAGCTATTCACAGAATTTAATGTAAGGAACCTTTACAATGGTGTTGGAGAAGTTGAAAAGTCAGGGAAAGAGGAAGTGATCCAAGGATTAGCAAGAGCAGGAAGGTGCTACCAGCCCTGGGATTAGAGCAACAAAAGAAGTAGGTGCCATGACCGAGCCAGGGAGATGGGGCCACTGGAAGGTGGCTGGGGCTGTGGTGGAGTTACTTTAGAGAGATCGAGAGAGGGCAGCCACCTGTGGGAATTGGATCCACAGAGGAGATACAGCCACTGTCAGAGCCACAACCGGAAGTGGAGAGGTAGAAGTGCTGGACTTCTACCTTTGGCCCAACCTCCAGTCTCCCACCAGCACCTCCCATTTGTTGAGCTGACCCCCAATCCCCTTGTCAGGAGAGCACAGCAAAATAGAGTTCCAGCTCCCTGGGATATACAGAAAGCCTTGCCATGCAGGGATGGAGGGTGAATCTGAGTGACAAGCACCCCAGACCTGTCTAACTTCTCAGCCCTTGTTCTTGCTGACAGAAGAATTCACCCCAATCAGAAGAAGCTGGGATCCCATCTCAAAGATGCCACTGGTTTACCCTGTGGTCTCAAGCAAGACATTCATACTCTGTGGCTCTCTTTGGTAAGAGCCCCCTGAAGCTGTCACCCCCCTCCCTGGCCACTCACAGAACAAATATGAAGGTCAGGCAGGTGGTTCAATGAGGCCCTACGTAGGTATGTCCAGGGGCGTCTCTGCTTACCTGAACCCATGCACAGGTTTTCTTTAACTTAACAATGTAGGATATTCAGATTTACGCCCTCCTCCACTCCTTTCTGAATACTCCCTCCAACCTCTCACCCTGAGATGCACTTTACTTCACCCCAACTTGCTTAACTCTTTTTCTCCCGAGAATATTTTCCAGACACCAGGGAGATGAGGAGGATTTCATGTTAGGGAGTGACTGGCAGGTGGGGGAGAGGAAGGTTGGAGAGGGACTGAGGTTGTTGCCCGGTAATCCTCCCTAAATCATGTATGGCAGGAGGTAGCAGACAATCATTTCCTGTGACTGAGACAAGATCAAAGGATTAAGAGGTTTTGGGCAAAGAACGCTTGGCATTTGGTCACGAGAATTACAAAAGTCGATCTACTGAAAAGAACAGCTTGCTAGGTGAACGTCTGACAATACAGCCTGGGATCCCTTTGAAAAGCCCGAGCTCTTTCAGGGTGAAAGGCAAAGGAGAGCCCGAGCACTGGATGTCTGCCCACAAAAGCTTCTGCCACATCCCAGAGCTACAGACAAGCTCCTCTCCAAACATGCCCTCTTCCTCCTGCACGCCACTCTGAGAGATGCGTGGTTACTGTCTGAGCCTTCCAAGTCTTCTACTAATAGTGATGGCATCATCCACCATTTAGTGAGCTCTGAGCCCATGCTGGGCATTCAAATACTCTGCATGCCATATTGCATTATTCTTCATAAGAGCCCTGTGGAACAGACAGTAGTATTTTTACTTTATAAATTAATAGACTGAGATGTGGGTATCAAACAATTTATTTAAAGTTACTCCATTAATTAAAAAGTTGCTAAGAATACCTATGTGTTTAGTACTTACCATGTGACAGACAGCATACTAAGTGCTTCATAGCTATGCCCAAAACCATAAGAGGCATTGGTCTTTCTTCCCTATCACAGATGAAGGACCAGAGTCTGAGAGAGAAGTAAATCGCCCATATTCACCACATTCAGATGTGGGAGAAGCAAGGTTCAAATCCAGGTCTCTTTCCTGCTAAAGCTCTTAAATACTCTTCATTATTTGTCCATTCACTCATTCAACAAATACTTACTGAGCACTTACTAGGTGCTGGACACTGACGTAGGTGCTGGTGACCCTGCAATGAACACAGGAGTGTCCTCATAGAGTGGACACTTTCATCTGTGATACTGCATTGTGTTGAGGGAGCCTCCCTCCACCAATACTCACTGAGCACCTATTAGTGCCAGGCACCTTGCTTGGCCCTATCACACAGCTCCTACAAGTTTAGGATTCAAACTTGGGCCTGTTGGAAACATCATACCTGAGCCACCCCCACAACCCAGACCATCATCTGTAATGAGCAGGGACTGGGGTGGGTGAGGGAGTGTGGGTACAGTATAAGTCCAAGTTTCCAAAGACTTTCACTCCATAATCTCTAGGTCAGTCACCCAAAGTATAAAAGTTGGAAGACGCTAATGCAAAAATGCCTCTGTAAGCCTTTCCCCAGAAAGGTTAAACCTGACACCATCCAGTTGGTGTAAGCAGCTCAAAAGATGCAGGCTGGAGTGCTAAGTGAACAGGTGCCAGCTCAGCTCATTAAGTCCCCCAAGTTTTCATCTTTCCCAAGCTAATTGGCATGAACACATAGGGTGCCGGATGGCTATTAAGTGGATAGCTGCAGCAGGCTCTTTAAGATTCAAAATCTAAAGGAGTTTGGGATCAAAGAAACAGAACATGACTGTATGTGAAAAGCTGCACTGGAACTCTGCCTCTGTCCTCACTGGTGTTTACTGTATTTTGAAGGAAAAACAACTGGTTTTGGCAGGATGACTGCTTCGTGTTGCCACTGGGAAGTACTTCTCATTGTGTGGTGCAATTATTTGTCTGTTTCCCTGATGAAACTCACTTCCTGTAAAGACTTACTGAACACCGACTTTGCGACAGGCATCGGGTTCCAGGTTGGGAAGCACAGCTTCACAGGGTTGGTGAAGAACTGGTTCCCATCCCTGCCCTCAGGGGACATGGTCTGGTAGAGAGACAGACATAGGGATGAGGCAAGTACAGTACAGCACACTGTGAGAGCTACTGTACTAGAGGTCAGTATCCAAGTAGCCCCGCGGAGGGCCTGATTATCTGTGTTTGGCTGGGTCTAGGAAGGCTTCCTGGAGGAAGTGCCATCTAGGCTGATTTTTGTTTGGTAGTTGTACCTGTTCAGTACGTGCCTCACCCTTCCTACCAATCATCCACAGGGTGGGCTGTAATCACTACTGTCACACTGATTGTTCCAAACTCTTGAATAGACTATAGGTGGCCACCATCAGAGCTGGGCTGAGCTTTACAGATTTTCACTGTCTAGAATCTGGAACTGGAACCCTGTAACTCAGGTGCAGATGGGATCTTGGATGGAGAAGCTGGCCACAAGCACAGTGACAAACAAAGGCAAGTCTGAACACAGGGAGAAAGAAGCATGAAGCAGGTGTCTGAAAAGAGCAAAGATAAATAACTCTGGAGAGACTCCTGAAGGGAGATGTTGGCGTTTGATTTTCTAGTGCGGGGCTCCAAGCCCTCAGGAGAGCCAGCTTTCCAGATTGCTTTTTTCATGAGTGGGTTACATTCTAAACAACTGCATGATTCCAGAGGAGGCCAATGTGAAGGCTGAGCATTCAGCCTTAAAGCCATAAAGTAGAACCACACGCCTGGAGACCATTCAAGTGTTGAGCTGTAACTTCTTAAAAGGCAGGAAAGCTGAAGTGGGTGTCTCCTGTATTGCCACATCTAGCACAGAGCCAGGCAGGATGGATGCGCATCCCACACAACATTGCACATCCCACTTCTCACAAACTTTAGAGTCCCAAGAATCAGCCTTGCTGCCTGGGCTTTGGTTTTCTCATAGTAACAATAGCAGTAAGCTAGCACTTCACTAAATATACACCAAACTGAGGCACTTACATACATGATTTCATCTAGTCTAAATTGTCTCTCTGAGAGATGGGTCCTATCACTCCTATCTTATGTGTTAGGAAATGGAGGCTTAGAGGATTTGGAACCTGCTCCAGGCCACATAGCTTAATAAATAAATGGCAGACTGACTGATCAACTTGTAACTCTAAAGACAGTAATGCAATTACTGGGCTCTGAAGAATACCTACCTCACTGGTTGTTGTGTTAAGAGAGTGAGTTTAAATAAGGCTCCTACACACGTGGCTGGCCATCAGAGAGGTGTTCAAGAAATACAACTTTCAGCCTTCCTAGCACAGTGGGTTGGGTGTGGGGCGGGCAGTAGGGGTCAGGATAGGCTGGTGGCAAGATGAGCATTCTCCTTTGTTTGTGATAAGAAGAAATAAGAAAAGTGTGGGAAGAATACCAGGGCTTCCCTCTTGGGCTATCAATGTAATAGCTGCTTTCTGTTCCCCCCCATTTCAGCCCTTGCAAACTATGAAAGGTCAAAATGTTCTGGAAATTTCTGGGCCAAGTGACCAAAGACTCTGGGACCTCAACTTCTATTTGCACCACCTTTTAACCCATCTTTGCCTATGTGGCATGGGCTGGCATGAGAAAAGAAATATAACTGGTCAGTTTCCACCAGATGGTAGTGAATTGAAGTGAGAGGGGATGTCTTATGGCAACTTATGATATTTGAGTATTTTGAGTATCCATTTGTTTTAATGTGGGAGTCACGAGAATGCACCTCGCCAACCTCCCCTAACAGGGAAAGGAACTGACAAAGCATTCTACCTGCTACATTCAGACACCCTTCTTCATGTCTGCAAGAGGAACATGTTTCCCATAGGCCACTCCCAGCCAGTGACAAAGCAGGGCAGGATTCTCAGGCAGGCCCTTTCCCAGGAGACAGGGAACTCCTCTGCTAAGCAACTTTGGCTTAAGTACTCCAATAAGACCTGGCTGAAGTTGCCTTAGGACAGCGCCAACATCTAAGATGCATCCACCAAGCCTGACTGCCTGCCTGCCTGCCTGCCTGCCTGCCTGCCTTCCTTCCTTCCTTCCTTCCTTCCTTCCTTCCTTCCTTCCTTCCTTCCTTCCTTCCTTCCCTCCCTCCCTCCCTCCCTCCCTCCCTCCCTCCCTGTCTTCTCCACTCGAGTCAAACATGCATTGTGGTCTGATGGCTCCCCTAGCCGCCCCTGGCTGCTTCCCTATTTTTCCTCACTGACATGAGAATGTCTTTTCCTCCCCTGTCCTCACCTCCTATGTTTGACTGGAATCTCACCAGCCCTTGACTGCTCCATCTACTGTTGACAATGGAGCCTAGTGAGTCGAGACTGAACAGAAAGAAGACCTTCAAGGCCCTGCTGGAAAGGAAAAGTCTGACCCAGGGCCAGCGGTGAGTCCACTTCCTACACATAGGCCTTCCAGATGCAAACCTCACCCTATTAATTTTCCTCACTGAAGTTATTGGGTACCACAGGCATTTTCTGAAATGTACCAACCTCGGCATTTGGCTTCAGAAGGATTTTAGAGATGATTTCACCCATCGAGATGGATAATCCTTCAGCTTTGAAATGGAAGATCATAATGCTTTGCCAATCTGCTCTGATCCCAGAGAAAATGGACTGATAAAAGAAGATGATTTCAAGGTTTAAAGCCACCCTCTTCTTCTAACCCAATCTGTTAAAAATTAAAACTCAGTAAGGCATAGTGAGAAGGCTTTCCAACCTGTCATTCTTATAAAGCAGAGATACTAAATAGCCCGCAAATTATCTTACTGAAAATAAGATAGAGGCTAGTGTGGTAGACAATGTTCTAAGTCAGAGGCTGATGCTTCACCACTTGTTCAGCTGTGGGCCCTGAGCAAGTTGCCTCCCACAAATTTCAGTTTCCTCTTTTAAAAATCCAGACGAGTGTCTTATATAAGTTAAGACAAAAAACACATAGAAGAGTGTCTGATGCATAGTAAGCGCTCAATAAATACTAGCCATCACAATAGTACCATATTGTTATTGGTTTTTTCATGCAGATTAACTGAAATAACATTATCTGGCATATTCCAGGCTTTCAGTGATTTTCTTTTTGTTTTGAGATGGAGTCTTGCTCTGTTGCCCAGGCTGGAGTGCAGCTGCGCCATCTCAGCTCACCGCAACCTCTGCCTCCTGGGCTCAAGCGATTCTCCTGCCTCAGCATCCCAAGTAGCTGGGACTACAGGCGAGCACCACCACGCCTGACTAATTTTTTGTATTTTTAGTAGAGATGGGGTCTCACCATGTTGGCCAGGCTGGTCTCGAGCTCCTGACCTCAGGTGATCTGCCCGCCTTGGCCTCCCAAAGAGCTGGGATTACATGTGTGAGCCACCGCGCTCAGCCAAATTTTTTTTTTTTTTTTTAATCTAAGCCATGGGCTTAACTGCTTAAAAAAAAATTGTCTTATGCAAGTTTCCTCTTTAAGAGGCAAGGGAGCATAAGGAGGAGGAAGAGAACTAATATGTAAGCAAGGTCTAGAATAGGTGTTTGTCTTAATTTCCTTCCAAGATCTTTATTGCATTTTTGTTTGATTGCAAGCAGTTCTGATCCTTCTGATGGATATGTGTGCTGTGCTCTCAAGAAGATAAAGAGAAAAGGATAGAGAGAAAAAGAGAGAGAGAATATAAAACTATATACTCACAAGCAATGATGGATGCCAAGGACAGAAAATTTCCAGTAGACCTGGCCTAAAAATTGTCATTTAAATTTGCAATTTAAAAACACTGTCTGACTTTTTGATTTAGCTGACTGTATAGGAGAGACAAATAATGGAATCCTAATAAGCAATGTTTAAATGACATCTCCAGTCTCCCAGACAGAGAGGGCGGCAGTAGAATTCTAAGAAGAGAATATAAATCTACCAAGAATAGGAAAGATGACCAGAACTAAATAGTTGCACTAATCACTTGATGACAGATATTAGAAAAATGTATTTTTAGCTGTTTAAAATTTGAATCCTTTACAGAAGAAGGGTTGGTTATCAGCTAAAAACCCCTAAAGTCATTGTGAGGGGACAAAACTAAGCTCTATTTTTACATTTCATCGCATTAAAACAGATGAACCAAAAAATCAAGACACCAGGACAACATATTAAAGTTGATAAGCTGAGGTTAAAAGATCTGAACAGCAAAGCACACTCCGGTTCACAGCCATTCATTGGCAAATCTTAATTCCCGTGCTTTACTAGAGTGGTGGTCCCCAGTGGTGACATGCCCGCAAAGGGGAGCCCACTCCAAAGTCTCAGTTTCTTCTCACTACAGGAGAACAAATTAGCATCTTCCCCTGCCCGCAAAACACAGAAGATAAACACTGTATCCGTTCAAGGATGAAAATAGAAATGAACCAACAACTGCTAAAAGCAGTTCTGTAACACCACAGCTTAAGCAAGATTTGACAAATTTGGGAATGCACCAATAAAAATGGCAACAATGACAGAAAGATTGAGAGAGAGGTTTTGTGAGAAAAAGCTAAAGAAAATTAGATCACTTAGCAAAATGATAATATTGCAAAAAGTTTATGATATGAGAATAGCTTAAATTGTGAGGTTTAGTGAAAAAGTAATACAGAATTAAATACACAGAAGGATCAGACAGGATGTCATGTGTTTGCACGCTTGTGTGCACACAGTAGTGTGCAGGAGAAAAATACTGAAAGAAAATATACCTAAGTGTTAACTGTTCTCACTCATCGCCAGGACATAATTTCAGAATCCTCTCCATAGCGCTCAAGGCAGCCATTAAAATCGACCAGGATTGGCAAATTACACAAAATCTATTTGCAATCTATAACTTTGTGAGCAGGAGGAGAAACTGCTGTAATCATTACTTCAAAACATCAAAGAAAAACTACTTGAATATAAATTACTGATTATAAGTAAATGTAGGCCAAAGGCCAATGAATTACCTATTTAACATAGAATACTGTTCAACAAATGTTTAGTGAACACATATTATGCACCTGGCCCTATGCATAACACGAAATGAATAAAATATGTTTGTAATGTGAGGTAGCTTTTACTCTAGAAGAGGCAGGAACAAGTTATTGTCCAGCAAGATTTAGGATCTGCTAGTCTTCCTTTCACGGGAGGATAGGGTAGGATTTGTTTTTCACAAGTGGGGGTTTACAGATCTTCAATAACAGGAGATATTTCACAAAGTAACTATGGAACTAAAAATCATAAATAAATCTGAACCCCAAGAATGTTTATTTAAATCTCACAACCTCTGGGAAGTCCTTGGATAGTTGGTTGTCTCTGCTAAGTGATTTCAACTTACTATAATAAACTATAATTGTTTCTTATTTGTCTCTCTTTCTTATTAGATTTTAAGTTCCTTGAACTCAGGACTTCTCCATAATCTTCTGTGGCCAGCACTCTGCCAGGTTTTGAAAAATGCTCAAAAATTGAATGAAGGAAAGGTGGAAGGAAAGAGGGAGGAAGGAAAAGAAAAGAAGGGAAGAAAGGAAGGAATTCAAAGAACTCTGTAATCATCACTTAGCCCTTAACAAAATTACCATGTTGACAATTCTTGATTTGACTAGCATCTCTTGATCACCTATGACGTGCTAAAGTCCGCGATAGGCACCTTCACACATGTACTCAGCAGTTTCATTTTCCACGATTTTGAACTCCAACCAGGAAGGTATTTATTAGAAGCTACTATGGTCAACAAAGTATCGATTTTGAAACCAGACTGCTTGGGTTTAAATCCTAACTCTGCTAGTTTCTAGCTGTGGGCAGGATACTAAATCTCTATGACTCTATTCATATAAAATATGAAAATAAACTGAGAGTAATATTTAAAATGCCTGTACATTAGTCTTCTCCCTATGAAAACGGTTTTTTTTCCTACAAACATATATATCATGTATCTTCTAGTATTTAATCACAGCCTCAACCTGACCAAAAGCCACTGGGCACTGGCTAAGACAGCAGAAACAAGTCTTGCAGAGCCTCAAGAAGCAAGGGCTAAAAGAGACCTTAGCAAGTTGCACGATTCCCACCTGCTATCAAGCATCAAGCTACCTTTCATAAGACCAACCTGATTTCAGCTCTCATGACTATCCATCACTGCTTCAGAATGACATTCAATGTCTTTAGCACATGCTTCTGTATCACTGTTAATAAGGGATATGGGCATGATCATTTTCCCAATGATAGGGGTCCTGATCCTTTTTAGGATCACATAATAAGAACATTTTTCATTGTTGGAGATAATTCTCCTTCCCGTGCACATTTGTCAAAGGCAGTTTCCAACAGTCCCGTACATCATCCTGAAATACATGATAAGATTCAGGTCTGCCATTCATCATCTACTGGGCTTCTTCCAGTGCAAGTCCCAGCATGGTGTGTCTTGCCTCTGGTTTAACAATTAGAATGCAAGTTCTCCCTACAGCAGTATTGCCAGCCAGGGAAAGCTGAAAGACTCAAGTGATGATAGTCCCAAATTTAAGGAATGTGAATCTGCAATGATGACATATAAATCCTTTATAAAGGTAAATTGCATCTGTAGCTACCATTTTACAACAGGAACCAGACCCCTAGGAAGTGAGCTTTCACTGGGGTTTTATTTGATGGTCTCTGCTGGGAAACAGCATGGTGTAGCGGAAAGAGCTTGTGCTTTGAATCAGATCCAAATTAAAATACCTGTCCTTCTATTTACACGATGGGTGACATTGAACATAATCTTAACTTATCTGAGTATGCTTTCTCATCTGTAAAATGGGAGTATTATCAAACTCATAATTCTCTTGTGAAGATTTTAAAAGTTATTGTATTCCCTCCCTGGCATTTAGTAGTCACATCATTAATATCATTTCCCACATTCCACTGATAACTCTTTACTTCTCTTCCTCCCAGCTTTCAGATGATATAATGATAGAAAAGACACAGTCCTTGTCAATAAGACTCAGCTGAACACACAATATAGAAGGGAAGAAAGGGTTATAAAGCGGAATCCTAATGAACAGAAGAAAGGAATAAGAGCTTCATCTGGAGTGAAAACAGTACACTGAGAATCACAAGGCTTAATTCCATGGAAGGAGAGGGATTCTGAGGAGGAGCTCTATGGCAGTGCTATCTGAGCTATGTCTCAGAGGAGCAGGAGGACTTTGACAGGCCAAAAAGAGAGAGGGGAACTTCTTCCAGGCTGAGAGGAGAGCTGAAGCAAATCCATGCATGCTCAAAGGGGGGCAAGCAAGGCGATGTGTTCAAATTGCGCAAGGTGTTTAGAAGGGACACACAACATTTGCTGTATTGATTAGTGAGACAGAACTGCAGGGCCCTTACAGCACTGACTTTGTGTCGTCTTTCCAGCTTCTCACCTTCCTCATCTGTAAACCTGAGATTTTTAAAAAGCAGCTACCTCATAGGAATGATCTGAATGAGAAAACAGATATAAAGGTTTGAATACATTGCCTGATACTTAGCAATTGCTGACAGATAGTAGCTACCTTCATCACCAGCATCCTCGTTATTATTTCAGGTTTGGGGATGCCCGCTGGGAGGTGAACTAGGCTGATGATATTATTCATAGATTTGGGGAATTTGCGAAATTTCCTGGTCTTCACTTTTACAGTGCTTGCTCCAAATTAAGAGATAGAAATGATGTTTTCCTTTAATATAACATTATATCTTCCATATCCATGGGGATTAGCTCCAGGATCTCCATAGATAACAAAATCTAAAGATATTCAAGTTCTTTATATAAAATGGCATAGTATTTGCATACAACCTATGTAATCCTGTAGTATACTTTAAATCATCTCTAGATTACTCGTAATACCTAATGCAAAGAAAATGCTATGTAATAGCTATTATACTTGCATTTTAAAATTTGTATTATTTTTTAATTGTTGTATTTTTTGCCTAATATTTTCTATCCAATGTTGGTTGAATCCATGGATGCAGAACCTCAGATATGGAGGGTGGCTGACTTTATATCCAAGAGGAATGAAAGCAGGGTCTCGAATAGATAGCTGTATACTCATTTCATACCAGCATCATTCACAATAGCCAAGAGGTGGAGGCAGCCCAAATGTCCACTGATGGATGAATGGATAAACAACCTCAGATGGAAAACACACACAGTTGGCCCTCCATAGCCTCAGGATTTTATCCACAGTTGGTTGAATACACAGATGTGAAACCCACAGTCACAAAGGGCTGATTGTACATTTCAATTTATACATAGTCAAAATCCTTCAAGTTCATTTTCACTTTACCTTTTTATATCTAGGAAATGTTTCCTTCTCAATCATGTGGAGACTTGTGCATGACAACCTTCTGCAAGTCACAGACAAGAGATGTGAAGTGAAGGGGCTTCCCATGGCTTTTTAACTTCTTTTCTAACTATACAACATATTTTATCATCATTCCCTCCTCTTGCTGAGGCCATCTCAACCTAAAGGCATTACTATTGGAACCTGTAGGAGGACATCTTTCAGTGCAAGCACAACTTAGTATTTGGTAAGAGGACATATCATTCAGTGGAGAGAAGTTTAGTCCAGGGTTAAGAACGTGGACAGGCTCTGGGGTTAGAAAGATCTGTGTGTAAATGGGTCCCTTTACCTGTGTGACCTCAAGTAAGCCATGCACCTCTCTGAGCCTCAGTTGCCTCTTACACAGAATGAGAATACTTGTCTAAAGGCTATTTTCAAGCTTAAATGAGAAAACATGGACACAAGGACACATGAACAATAGATATTGGTTCCTCCTTCACCTCTGCTCTTGCCTCTCCTCTGCCTTTGATCTATGTGTGTTCTTTTGATGGACTGCAGAAACACTCAGCCTTGCAAACATGTGTACTCTGACCATCCTAGAAGGTGTGTTGCAATAGGAGATTGCTGAAATCTCAGCACACCTGGGAACATTGTCTGCTCAGCAAACTTACACAAATAATGAAATCCCATCCTCTGAGTCATTTACTGACTATCTGCAAAGACAAAGACTCTCCAGCTCCGTGAAAGAGCATATACGTAACCAGACTCACAGCATATCAAGGACTCAGAGGGCTAATGTGAAGAGCTTTGTTCTTCCAAACATAAAAATTCAGGCCCAGTCACTGCCAGAGGCAGCACACTGAGCTTAATGAAGCAGTGGGATGAACTAATATGGCAAATCTTATAGCTCTTACTACCAATATGGCCTACATCACGGTAAATTACAGCACCAGACATGATTGGACACACATCACAAAAGGAGAAGTAGCTGTCTGAATTGTAGGAATTTTGAATGCCACATAATAAGAATCTCAAGAGCCAACTCTTAGGGGAGATTTTTTTAAATTTTTTTTCTCCTTGTGCAAATAATTCTCCCCCACATTATATAATAATTAATTCAACAAACATTTACTGATTACCTACCTTGTGCCAAGTGTACCAGGTGAGGAACTCATAGTTAATGGCATAGCATAGAAAAAAGAAAAATAATTATAGAAAAAATGGGGAAAGTGTGATAATTTTAGTAAGTACAGGGTGCTGTGAGACTCCTTAGAATCCAGGGGACTCAGGTGAGATTTTTCGTGGCCGTAAGTTCATTCATTTACTCCCTTATTCATTCAATAAATATTGC